>NC_000018.10:16246232-16431152 GCF_000001405.40 Homo sapiens | reverse complement strand
GCAGCATTCTCAGAAACTTCTTTGTGATGATTGCATTCAAGTCACAGAATTGAACATTCCCTTTCACAGAGCAGGTTTGAAACACTCTTTTTGTAGTGTGTGTAAGTGGACATTTGGAGCGCTTTCCGGCCTAAGGTGAACAAGGAAATATCTTCCCTGGCTGGGACTACAGACATGCACCACTACACTCAGATAATATTTTTAAATTTTTAGAAGAGATAAGGCCTTGCTGGTCTCAAACTCCTAGGCTCAAGTGATCCTCCCATTTTGGCCTCTCAAAGTGCTGGGACTACAGGTGTGAGACACCACACCCAGCCTGTAATTCACTTTTAATTGAAGCATAGAATTTAAAAGGTAAAAGCATAATATTACTGTATTAAATTATGTGAATAAACAATATAAAATATATAGTGTGACATTGATAACAAAGTGAGAAGGAGGTGTAAAGAAGTAGAGTTTTTGTATGTGATTAAAGTTAAGTTGTTGTCAATTTAAAATAGATTATTATAATTATAAGATGTTTTTATGTAATTCTACAGTAACCACAAAGAAAAGACCTACATAAGATACACAAATAAAAATGAGAAAGGGCTGTCTGCTTTTTATATGTAATCCCGTTTCCAACGAAATCCTCAAATCTAGCCAAATATCCACTTGCAGATTCCACAAAAAGAGTGTTTCAAAACTGTTCTGTCTAAAGAAATGTTCAACTGTGTTAGTTGAGGACACACATCAGAAACTAGTTTCTGAGAATGCTTCTGTCTAGTTGTTATGGGAAGATATTTCCTTTTCCAACGTAGGCCTGAAAGCGCTCCAAATGTCCACTTCCATATACTAAAAAAAGAGTGTTTCAAACCTGCTCTACCAAAGGAATGTTCTACTCTGTGACTTGAATGCAAACATCCCAAAGAAGTTTCTGAGAATGCTTCTGTCTAGATTTGATCTGAAGACAATCCCTTTTCCAACGAAATCCTCAAAGCTAGGCAAATATCCTCTTGCAGATTCCAGAAAAAGAGTGTTTCCAAACTGCTCCTTCAAAACGGTGGTTCAATTCTCTTAGTTGAGTACACACATCTCAAATAAGTTTCTGAGAATGCTTCTGCCTAGTTGTTACGGGAAGATATTTCCCTTTCCAACATAGGCCTGAAAGCGCTCCAAATGTCCACTTCCAGATACTACAAAAAGAGTGTTTCAAACCTGCTCTACCAAAGGGAATGTTCTACTCTGTGACTTGAATGCAAACATCCCAAAGAAGTTTCTGAGAATGCTTCTGTCTAGATTTTACCTGAAGACAATCCCGTTTCCCACGAAATCCTCAAAGCTATGCAAATATCCTCTTGCAGATTCTACACAAAGAGTGTTTCAAAACTGCTCTATGAAAAGAAAGGTTCAACTCTGTCAGTAGCGGGCACACATCACAAACAAGTTTCTGAGAATGCTTGTGTCTAGTTGTTATGGGAAGATATTTCCTTTTTCAACATAGGCCTGAAAGCGCTCCAAATGTCCACTTCCAGATACTACAAAAGGAGTGATTCCAACCTGCTCTATGATAGGGAATGTTCAACTCTGTGTCCTGAATACAAACATCACAAAGATGTTTCTCAGAACGCTGCAGTCTGCAATTTGTATGAATTCCCGCTTCCAGCGAAATCCTCAAAACTAGCCAAATATCCACTTGCAGATTCCACAAAAAGAGCATTTCAAAACTGCTCTATCAAAAGAAAGGTTCAACTTTGTTAGTTGAGTAGATACAGCATAAACAAGTTTCTGAGAATGCTTCTGTCCAGTTTTTATGGGAAGATATTTCCTTTTTCACCTTAGCCCTGAAAGCGCTCCAAAAGTCCAGTTCCAGATACTACAAAAGGGGTGTTTCAGGACTGCTCTATGAAAGGGAGTGTTCAACTTTTGACTTGAATGCAAACATCAGAAAGCAGTTTCTCAGAACGCTGCTGTGTGCTTTTTATATGTATTCCCGCTTCCAGCGAAATCCCCAAAGCTAGCCAAATATCCACTTGCAGATTCCAGAAAAAGAGTGTTTCAAAACTGCTCCTTCAAAACGGTGGTTCAATTCTCTTAGTTGAGTACACACATCTCAAATAAGTTTCTGAGAATGCTTCTGTCTAGTTGTTATGGGAAGATATTTCCTTTTCCAACATAGGCCTGAAAGCGCTCCAAATGTCCACTTCCAGATACTACAAAAGGAGTGATTCAAACCTGCTCTATGATAGGGAATGTTCAACTCTGTGTCCTGAATACAAACATCACAAAGATGTTTCTCAGAACGCTGCAGTCTGCAATTTGTATGAATTCCCGCTTCCAACGAAATCCTCAAAACTAGCCAAATATCCACTTGCAGATTCCACAAAAAGAGCGTTTCAAAACTTCTCTATGAAAAGAAAGGTTCTACTCCTTTAGTTGAGGACACACATCACGAGTAAGTTTCTGAGAATGCTTCTGTCTAGTTTTTATGGGAAGATATTTCCTTTTTCACCTTAGGCCGGTAAGTGCTCCAAATGTCCACTTACACACACTACAAAAAGAGTGTTTCAAACCTGCTCTGTGAAAGGGAATGTTCAATTCTGTGACTTGAATGCAATCATCACAAAGAACTTTCTGAGAATGCCGCTGACTGCTTTTTATATGTAATCCCGTTTCCAACGAAATCCTCAAATCTAGCCAAATAGCCACTTGCAGATTCCACAAAAAGAGTGTTTCAAAACTGTTCTGTCTAAAGAAATGTTCAACTGTGTTAGTTGAGGACACACATCAGAAACTAGTTTCTGAGAATGCTTCTGTCTAGTTGTTATGGGAAGATATTTCCTTTTCCAACGTAGGCCTGAAAGCGCTCCAAATGTCCACTTCCAGATACTAAAAAAAGAGTGTTTCAAACCTGCTCTACCAAAGGGAATGTTCTACTCTGTGACTTGAATGCAAGCATCCCAAAGAAGTTTCTGAGAATGCTTCTGTCTAGATTTTCTCTGAAGACAATCCCGTTTCCAACGAAATCCTCAAGGCTAGGCAAATATCCTCTTGCAGATTCCAGAAAAAGAGTGTTTCAAAACTGCTCCTTCAAAACGGTGGTTCAATTCTCTTAGTTGAGTACACACATCTCAAATAAGTTTCTGAGAATGCTTCTGCCTAGTTGTTACGGGAAGATATTTCCCTTTCCAACATGGGCCTGAAAGCGCTCCAAATGTCCACTTCCAGATACTACAAAAAGAGTGTTTCAAACCTGCTCTACCAAAGGGAATGTTCTACTCTGTGACTTGAATGCAAACATCCCAAAGAAGTTTCTGAGAATGCTTCTGTCTAGATTTTACCTGAAGACAATCCCGTTTCCCACGAAATCCTCAAAGCTATGCAAATATCCTCTTGCAGATTCTACAAAAAGAGTGTTTCAAAAGTGCTCTATGAAAAGAAAGGTTCAACTCTGTCAGTAGAGGGCACACATCACAAACAAGTTTCTGAGAATGCTTCTGCATAGTTGTTACGGGAAGATATTTCCCTTTCCAAAATAGGCCTGAAAGCGCTCCAAATGTCCACTTCCAGATACTACAAAAGGAGTGATTCCAACCTGCTCTATGATAGGGAATGTTCAACTCTGTGTCCTGAATACAAACATCACAAAGATGTTTCTCAGAACGCTGCAGTCTGCAATTTGTATGAATTCCCGCTTCCAACGAAATCCTCAAAACTAGCCAAATATCCACTTGCAGATTCCACAAAAAGACCATTTCAAAACTGCTCTATCAAAAGAAAGGTTCAACTTTGTTAGTTGAGTAGATACAGCATAAACAAGTTTCTGAGAATGCTTCTGTCCAGTTTTTATGGGAAGATATTTCCTTTTTCACCTTAGCCCTGAAATCGCTCCAAAAGTCCAGTTCCAGATACTACAAAAGGGGTGTTTCAGGACTGCCCTATGAAAGGGAGTGTTCAACTTTTGACTTGAATGCAAACATCAGAAAGCAGTTTCTCAGAACGCTGCTGTGTGCTTTTTATATGTATTCCCGCTTCCAGCGAAATCCCCAAAGCTAGCCAAATATCCACTTGCAGATTCCAGAAAAAGAGAGTTTCAAAACTGCTCCTTCAAAACGGTGGTTCAATTCTCTTAGTTGAGTACACACATCTCAAATAAGTTTCTGAGAATGCTTCTGTCTAGTTGTTATGGGAAGATATTTCCTTTTCCAACATAGGCCTGAAAGCGCTCCAAATGTCCACTTCCAGATACTACAAAAGGAGTGATTCAAACCTGCTCTATGATAGGGAATGTTCAACTCTGTGTCCTGAATACAAACATCACAAAGATGTTTCTCAGAACGCTGCAGTCTGCAATTTGTATGAATTCCCGCTTCCAACGAAATCCTCAAAACTAGCCAAATATCCACTTGCAGATTCCACAAAAAGAGCGTTTCAAAACTTCTCTATGAAAAGAAAGGTTCTACTCCTTTAGTTGAGGACACACATCACGAGTAAGTTTCTGAGAATGCTTCTGTCTAGTTTTTATGGGAAGATATTTCCTTTTTCACCTTAGGCCGGAAAGTGCTCCAAATGTCCACTTACACACACTACAAAAAGAGTGTTTCAAACCTGCTCTGTGAAAGGGAATGTTCAATTCTGTGACTTGAATGCAATCATCACAAAGAACTTTGCTGAGAATGCTGCTGTGTGCTTTTTATATGTAATCCCGTTTCCAACGAAATGCTCAAATCTAGCCAAATATCCACTTGCAGATTCCACAAAAAGAGTGTTTCAAAACTGTTCTGTGTAAAGAAATGTTCAACTGTGTTAGCTGAGGACACACATCAGAAACTAGTTTCTGAGAATGCTTCTGTCTAGTTGTTATGGGAAGATATTTCCTTTTCCAACGTAGGCCTGAAAGCGCTCCAAATGTCCACTTCCAGATACTACAAAAAGAGTGTTTCAAACCTGCTCTACCAAAGGGAATGTTCTACTCTGTGACTTGAATGCAAACATCCCAAAGAAGTTTCTGAGAATGCTTCTGTCTAGATTTTCTCTGAAGACAATCCCGTTTCCAACGAAATCCTCAAGGCTAGGCAAATATACTCTTGCAGATTCCAGAAAAAGAGTGTTTCAAAACTGCTCCTTCAAAACGGTGGTTCAATTCTCTTAGTTGAGTACACACATCTCAAATAAGTTTCTGAGAATGCTTCTGCCTAGTTGTTACGGGAAGATATTTCCCTTTCCAACATGGGCCTGAAAGCGCTCCAAATGTCCACTTCCAGATACTACAAAAAGAGTGTTTCAAACCTGCTCTACCAAAGGGAATGTTCTACTCTGTGACTTGAATGCAAACATCCCAAAGAAGTTTCTGAGAATGCTTCTGTCTAGATTTTACCTGAAGACAATCCCGTTTCCCACGAAATCCTCAAAGCTATGCAAATATCCTCTTGCAGATTCTACAAAAAGAGTGTTTCAAAACTGCTCTATGAAAAGAAAGGTTCAACTCTGTCAGTAGAGGGCACACATCACAAACAAGTTTCTGAGAATGCTTGTGTCTAGTTGTTATGGGAAGATATTTCCTTTTTCAACATAGGCCAGAAAGCGCTCCAAATGTCCACTTCCAGATACTACAAAAGGAGTGATTCCAACCTGCTCTATGATAGGGAATGTTCAACTCTCTGTCCTGAATACAAACATCACAAAGATGTTTCTCAGAACGCTGCAGTCTGCAATTTGTATGAATTCCCGCTTCCAACGAAATCCTCAAAACTAGCCAAATATCCACTTGCAGATTCCACAAAAAGAGCATTTCAAAACTGCTCTATCAAAAGAAAGGTTCAACTTTGTTAGTTGAGTAGATACAGCATAAACAAGTTTCTGAGAATGCTTCTGTCCAGTTTTTATGGGAAGATATTTCCTTTTTCACCTTAGCCCTGAAAGCGCTCCAAAAGTCCAGTTCCAGATACTACAAAAGGAGTGTTTCAGGACTGCTCTATGAAAGGGAGTGTTCAACTTTTGACTTGAATGCAAACATCAGAAAGCAGTTTCTCAGAACGCTGCTGTGTGCTTTTTATATGTATTCCCGCTTCCAGCGAAATCCCCAAAGCTAGCCAAATATCCACTTGCAGATTCCAGAAAAAGAGTGTTTCAAAACTGCTCCTTCAAAACGGTGGTTCAATTCTCTTAGTTGAGTACACACATCTCAAATAAGTTTCTGAGAATGCTTCTGTCTATTTGTTATGGGAAGATATTTCCTTTTCCAACATAGGCCTGAAAGCGCTCCAAATGTCCACTTCCAGATACTAGAAAAGGAGTGATTCAAACCTGCTCTATGATAGGGAATGTTCAACTCTGTGTCCTGAATACAAACATCACAAAGATGTTTCTCAGAACGCTGCAGTCTGCAATTTGTATGAATTCCCGCTTCCAACGAAATCCTCCAAACTAGCCAAATATCCACTTGCAGATTCCACAAAAAGAGCGTTTCAAAACTTCTCTATGAAAGAAAGGTTCTACTCCTTTAGTTGAGGACACACATCACGAGTAAGTTTCTGAGAATGCTTCTGTCTAGTTTTTATGGGAAGATATTTCCTTTCTCACCTTAGGCCGGAAAGTGCTCCAAATGTCCACTTACACACACTACAAAAAGAGTGTTTCAAACCTGCTCTGTGAAAGGGAATGTTCAATTCTGTGACTTGAATGCAATCATCACAAAGAACTTTCTGAGAATGCTGCTGTCTGCTTTTTATATGTAATCCCGTTTCCAACGAAATCCTCAAATCTAGCCAAATAGCCACTTGCAGATTCCACAAAAAGAGAGTTTCAAAACTGTTCTGTCTAAAGAAATGTTCAACTGTGTTAGTTGAGGACACACATCAGAAACTAGTTTCTGAGAATGCTTCTGTCTAGTTGTTATGGGAAGATATTTCCTTTTCCAACGTAGGCCTGAAAGCGCTCCAAATGTCCACTTCCATATACTAAAAAAAGAGTGTTTCAAACCTGCTCTACCAAAGGGAATGTTCTACTCTGTGACTTGAATGCAAACATCCCAAAGAAGTTTCTGAGAATGCTTCTGTCTAGATTTTATCTGAAGACAATCCCGTTTCCAACGAAATCGTCAAGGCTAGGCAAATATACTCTTGCAGATTCCAGAAAAAGAGTGTTTCAAAACTGCGCCTTCAAAACGGTGGTTCAATTCTCTTAGTTGAGTACACACATCTCAAATAAGTTTCTGAGAATGCTTCTGCCTAGTTGTTACGGGAAGATATTTCCCTTTCCAACATGGGCCTGAAAGCGCTCCAAATGTCCACTTCCAGATACTACAAAAAGAGTGTTTGAAACCTGCTCTACCAAAGGGAATGTTCTACTCTGTGACTTGAATGCAAACATCCCAAAGAAGTTTCTGAGAATGCTTCTGTCTAGATTTTACCTGAAGACAATCCCGTTTCCCACGAAATCCTCAAAGCTATGCAAATATCCTCTTGCAGATTCTACAAAAAGAGTGTTTCAAAACTGCTCTATGAAAAGAAAGGTTCAACTCTGTCAGTAGAGGGCACACATCACAAACAAGTTTCTGAGAATGCTTCTGCATAGTTGTTATGGGAAGATATTTCCCTTTCCAAAATAGGCCTGAAAGCGCTCCAAATGTCCACTTCCAGATACTACAAAAGGAGTGATTCCAACCTGCTCTATGACAGGGAATGTTCAACTCTGTGTCCTGAATACAAACATCACAAAGATGTTTCTCAGAACGCTGCAGTCTGCAATTTGTATGAATTCCCGCTTCCAACGAAATCCTCAAAACTAGCCAAATATCCACTTGCAGATTCCACAAAAAGACCATTTCAAAACTGCTCTATCAAAAGAAAGGTTCAACTTTGTTAGTTGAGTAGATACAGCATAAACAAGTTTCTGAGAATGCTTCTGTCCAGTTTTTATGGGAAGATATTTCCTTTTTCACCTTAGCCCTGAAATCGCTCCAAAAGTCCAGTTCCAGATACTACAAAAGGGGTGTTTCAAGACTGCTCTATGAAAGGGAGTGTTCAACTTTTGACTTGAATGCAAACATCAGAAAGCAGTTTCTCAGAACGCATGCTGTGTGCTTTTTATATGTATTCCCGCTTCCAGCGAAATCCCCAAAGCTAGCCAAATATCCACTTGCAGATTCCAGAAAAAGAGTGTTTCAAAACTGCTCCTTCAAAACGGTGGTTCAATTCTCTTAGTTGAGTACACACATCTCAAATAAGTTTCTGAGAATGCTTCTGTCTAGTTGTTATGGGAAGATATTTCCTTTTCCAACATAGGCCTGAAAGCGCTCCAAATGTCCACTTCCAGATACTACAAAAGGAGTGATTCCAACCTGCTCTATGATAGGGAATGTTCAACTCTGTGTCCTGAATACAAACATCACAAAGATGTTTCTCAGAACGCTGCAGTCTGCAATTTGTATGAATTCCCGCTTCCAACGAAATCCTCCAAACTAGCCAAATATCCACTTGCAGATTCCACAAAAAGAGCGTTTCCAAACTTCTCTATGAAAACAAAGGTTCTACTCCTTTAGTTGAGGACACACATCACGAGTAAGTTTCTGAGAATGCTTCTGTCTAGTTTTTATGGGAAGATATTCCCTTTTTCACCTTAGGCCGGAAAGTGCTCCAAATGTCCACTTACACACACTACAAAAAGAGTGTTTCAAACCTGCTCTGTGAAAGGGAATGTTCAATTCTGTGACTTGAATGCAATCATCACAAAGAACTTTCTGAGAATGCTGCTGTCTGCTTTTTATATGTAATCCCGTTTCCAACGAAATCCTCAAATCTAGCCAAATAGCCACTTGCAGATTCCACAAAAAGAGTGTTTCAAAACTGTTCTGTCTAAAGAAATGTTCAACTGTGTTAGTTGAGGACACACATCAGAAACTAGTTTCTGAGAATGCTTCTGTCTAGTTGTTATGGGAAGATATTTCCTTTTCCAACTTAGGCCTGAAAGCGCTCCAAATGTCCACTTCCATATACTAAAAAAAGAGTGTTTCAAACCTGCTCTACCAAAGGGAATGTTCTACTCTGTGACTTGAATGCAAACATCCCAAAGAAGTTTCTGAGAATGCTTCTGTCTAGATTTGATCTGAAGACAATCCCGTTTCCAACGAAATCCTCAAGGCTAGGCAAATATCCTCTTGCAGATTCCAGAAAAAGAGTGTTTCAAAACTGCTCCTTCAAAACGGTGGTTCAATTCTCTTAGTTGAGTACACACATCTCAAATAAGTTTCTGAGAATGCTTCTGCCTAGTTGTTACGGGAAGATATTTCCCTTTCCAACATAGGCCTGAAAGCGCTCCAAATGTCCACTTCCAGATACTACAAAAAGAGTGTTTCAAACCTGCTCTACCAAAGGGAATGTTCTGCTCTGTGACTTGAATGCAAACATCCCAAAGAAGTTTCTGAGAATGCTTCTGTCTAGATTTTACCTGAAGACAATCCCGTTTCCCACGAAATCCTCAAAGCTATGCAAATATCCTCTTGCAGATTCTACAAAAAGAGTGTTTCAAAACTGCTCTATGAAAAGAAAGGTTCAACTCTGTCAGTAGAGGGCACACATCACAAACAAGTTTCTGAGAATGCTTGTGTCTAGTTGTTATGGGAAGATATTTCCTTTTTCAACATAGGCCTGAAAGCGCTCCAAATGTCCACTTCCAGATACTACAAAAGGAGTGATTCCAACCTGCTCTATGATAGGGAATGTTCAACTCTCTGTCCTGAATACAAACATCACAAAGATGTTTCTCAGAACGCTGCAGTCTGCAATTTGTATGAATTCCCGCTTCCAACGAAATCCTCAAAACTAGCCAAATATCCACTTGCAGATTCCACAAAAAGAGCATTTCAAAACTGCTCTATCAAAAGAAAGGTTCAACTTTGTTAGTTGAGTAGATACAGCATAAACAAGTTTCTGAGAATGCTTCTGTCCAGTTTTTATGGGAAGATATTTCCTTTTTCACCTTAGCCCTGAAAGCGCTCCAAAATTCCAGTTCCAGATACTACAAAAGGAGTGTTTCAGGACTGCTCTATGAAAGGGAGTGTTCAACTTTTGACTTGAATGCAAACATCAGAAAGCAGTTTCTCAGAACGCTGCTGTGTGCTTTTTATATGTATTCCCGCTTCCAGCGAAATCCCCAAAGCTAGCCAAATATCCACTTGCAGATTCCAGAAAAAGAGTGTTTCAAAACTGCTCCTTCAAAACGGTGGTTCAATTCTCTTAGTTGAGTACACACATCTCAAATAAGTTTCTGAGAATGCTTCTGTCTAGTTGTTATGGGAAGATATTTCCTTTTCAAACATAGGCCTGAAAGCGCTCCAAATGTCCACTTCCAGATACTACAAAAGGAGTGATTCAAACCTGCTCTATAATAGGGAATGTTCAACTCTGTGTCCTGAATACAAACATCACAAAGATGTTTCTCAGAACGCTGCAGTCTGCAATTTGTATGAATTCCCGCTTCCAACGAAATCCTCAAAACTAGCCAAATATCCACTTGCAGATTCCACAAAAAGAGCGTTTCAAAACTTCTCTATGAAAAGAAAGGTTCTACTCCTTTAGTTGAGGACACACATCACGAGTAAGTTTCTGAGAATGCTTCTGTCTAGTTTTTATGGGAAGATATTTCCTTTTTCACCTTAGGCCGGTAAGTGCTCCAAATGTCCACTTACACACACTACAAAAAGAGTGTTTCAAACCTGCTCTGTGAAAGGGAATGTTCAATTCTGTGACTTGAATGCAATCATCACAAAGAACTTTCTGAGAATGCTGCTGACTGCTTTTTATATGTAATCCCGTTTCCAACGAAATCCTCAAATCTAGCCAAATAGCCACTTGCAGATTCCACAAAAAGAGTGTTTCAAAACTGTTCTGTCTAAAGAAATGTTCAACTGTGTTAGTTGAGGACACACATCAGAAACTAGTTTCTGAGAATGCTTCTGTCTAGTTGTTATGGGAAGATATTTCCTTTTCCAACGTAGGCCTGAAAGCGATCCAAATGTCCACTTCCATATACTAAAAAAAGAGTGTTTCAAACCTGCTCTACCAAAGGGAATGTTCTACTCTGTGACTTGAATGCAAACATCCCAAAGAAGTTTCTGAGAATGCTTCTGTCTAGATTTTCTCTGAAGACAATCCCGTTTCCAACGAAATCCTCAAGGCTAGGCAAATATACTCTTGCAGATTCCAGAAAAAGAGTGTTTCAAAACTGCTCCTTCAAAACGGTGGTTCAATTCTCTTAGTTGAGTACACACATCTCAAATAAGTTTCTGAGAATGCTTCTGCCTAGTTGTTACGGGAAGATATTTCCCTTTCCAACATGGGCCTGAAAGCGCTCCAAATGTCCACTTCCAGATACTACAAAAAGAGTGTTTCAAACCTGCTCTACCAAAGGGAATGTTCTACTCTGTGACATGAATGCAAACATCCCAAAGAAGTTTCTGAGAATGCTTCTGTCTAGATTTTACCTGAAGACAATCCCGTTTCCCACGAAATCCTCAAAGCTATGCAAATATCCTCTTGCAGATTCTACAAAAAGAGTGTTTCAAAACTGCTCTATGAAAAGAAAGGTTCAACTCTGTCAGTAGAGGGCACACATCACAAACAAGTTTCTGAGAATGCTTGTGTCTAGTTGTTATGGGAAGATATTTCCTTTTTCAACATAGGACTGAAAGCGCTCCAAATGTCCACTTCCAGATACTACAAAAGGAGTGATTCCAACCTGCTCTATGATAGGGAATGTTCATCTCTGTGTCCTGAATACAAACATCACAAAGATGTTTCTCAGAACGCTGCAGTCTGCAATTTGTATGAATTCCCGCTTCCAACGAAATCCTCAAAACTAGCCAAATATCCACTTGCAGATTGCACAAAAAGAGCATTTCAAAACTGCTCTATCAAAAGAAAGGTTCAACTTTGTTAGTTGAGTAGATACAGCATAAACAAGTTTCTGAGAATGCTTTTCTCCAGTTTTTATGGGAAGATATTTCCTTTTTCACCTTAGCCCTGAAAGCGCTCCAAATGTCCAGTTCCCGATACTACAAAAGGGGTGTTTCAAGACTGCTCTATGAAAGGGAGTGTTCAACTTTTGACTTGAATGCAAACATCAGAAAGCAGTTTCTCAGAACGCTGCTGTGTGCTTTTTATATGTATTCCCGCTTCCAGCGAAATCCCCAAAGCTAGCCAAATATCCACTTGCAGATTCCAGAAAAAGAGTGTTTCAAAACTGCTCCTTCAAAACGGTGGTTCAATTCTCCTAGTTGCGTACACACATCTCAAATAAGTTTCTGAGAATGCTTCTGTCTAGTTGTTATGGGAAGATATTTCCTTTTCCAACATAGGCCTGAAAGCGCTCCAAATGTCCACTTCCAGATACTACAAAAGGAGTGATTCCAACCTGCTCTATGATAGGGAATGTTCAACTCTGTGTCCTGAATACAAACATCACAAAGATGTTTCTCAGAACGCTGCAGTCTGCAATTTGTATGAATTCCCGCTTCCAACGAAATCCTCCAAACTAGCCAAATATCCACTTGCAGATTCCACAAAAAGAGCGTTTCAAAACTTCTCTATGAAAAGAAAGGTTCTACTCCTTTAGTTGAGGACACACATCACGAGTAAGTTTCTGAGAATGCTTCTGTCTAGTTTTTATGGGAAGATATTTCCTTTTTCACCTTAGGCAGGTAAGTGCTCCAAATGTCCACTTACACACACTACAAAAAGAGTGTTTCAAACCTGCTCTGTGAAAGGGAATGTTCAATTCTGTGACTTGAATGCAATCATCACAAAGAACTTTCTGAGAATGCTGCTGACTGCTTTTTATATGTAATCCCGTTTCCAACGAAATCCTCAAATCTAGCCAAATAGCCACTTGCAGATTCCACAAAAAGAGTGTTTCAAAACTGTTCTGTCTAAAGAAATGTTCAACTGTGTTAGTTGAGGACACACATCAGAAACTAGTTTCTGAGAATGCTTCTGTCTAGTTGTTATGGGAAGATATTTCCTTTTCCAACGTAGGCCTGAAAGCGCTCCAAATGTCCACTTCCAGATACTACAAAAAGAGTGTTTCAAACCTGCTCTACCAAAGGGAATGTTCTACTCTGTGACTTGAATGCAAACATCCCAAAGAAGTTTCTGAGAATGCTTCTGTCTAGATTTTCTCTGAAGACAATCCCGTTTCCAACGAAATCCTCAAGGCTAGGCAAATATACTCTTGCAGATTCCAGAAAAAGAGTGTTTCAAAACTGCTCCTTCAAAACGGTGGTTCAATTCTCTTAGTTGAGTACACACATCTCAAATAAGTTTCTGAGAATGCTTCTGCCTAGTTGTTACGGGAAGATATTTCCCTTTCCAACATGGGCCTGAAAGCGCTCCAAATGTCCACTTCCAGATACTACAAAAAGAGTGTTTCAAACCTGCTCTACCAAAGGGAATGTTCTACTCTGTGACTTGAATGCAAACATCCCAAAGAAGTTTCTGAGAATGCTTCTGTCTAGATTTTACCTGAAGACAATCCCGTTTCCCACGAAATCCTCAAAGCTATGCAAATATCCTCTTGCAGATTCTACAAAAAGAGTGTTTCAAAACTGCTCTATGAAAAGAAAGGTTCAACTCTGTCAGTAGAGGGCACACATCACAAACAAGTTTCTGAGAATGCTTCTGCATAGTTGTTACGGGAAGATATTTCCCTTTCCAAAATAGGCCTGAAAGCGCTCCAAATGTCCACTTCCAGATACTACAAAAGGAGTGATTCCAACCTGCTCTATGATAGGGAATGTTCAACTCTGTGTCCTGAATACAAACATCACAAAGATGTTTCTCAGAACGCTGCAGTCTGCAATTTGTATGAATTCCCGCTTCCAACGAAATCCTCAAAACTAGCCAAATATCCACTTGCAGATTCCACAAAAAGACCATTTCAAAACTGCTCTATCAAAAGAAAGGTTCAACTTTGTTAGTTGAGTAGATACAGCATAACCAAGTTTCTGAGAATGCTTCTGTCCAGTTTTTATGGGAAGATATTTCCTTTTTCACCTTAGCCCTGAAATCGCTCCAAAAGTCCAGTTCCAGATACTACAAAAGGGGTGTTTCAAGACTGCTCTATGAAAGGGAGTGTTCAACTTTTGACTTGAATGCAAACATCAGAAAGCAGTTTCTCAGAACGCTGCTGTGTGCTTTTTATATGTATTCCCGCTTCCAGCGAAATCCCCAAAGCTAGCCAAATATCCACTTGCAGATTCCAGAAAAAGAGAGTTTCAAAACTGCTCCTTCAAAACGGTGGTTCAATTCTCTTAGTTGAGTACACACATCTCAAATAAGTTTCTGAGAATGCTTCTGTCTAGTTGTTATGGGAAGATATTTCCTTTTCCAACATAGGCCTGAAAGCGCTCCAAATGTCCACTTCCAGATACTACAAAAGGAGTGATTCCAACCTGCTCTATGATAGGGAATGTTCAACTCTGTGTCCTGAATACAAACATCACAAAGATGTTTCTCAGAACGCTGCAGTCTGCAATTTGTATGAATTCCCGCTTCCAACGAAATCCTCAAAACTAGCCAAATATCCACTTGCAGATTCCACAAAAAGAGCGTTTCAAAACTTCTCTATGAAAAGAAAGGTTCTACTCCTTTAGTTGAGGACACACATCACGAGTAAGTTTCTGAGAATGCTTCTGTCTAGTTTTTATGGGAAGATATTTCCTTTTTCACCTTAGGCCGGTAAGTGCTCCAAATGTCCACTTACACACACTACAAAAAGAGTGTTTCAAACCTGCTCTGTGAAAGGGAATGTTCAATTCTGTGACTTGAATGCAATCATCACAAAGAACTTTCTGAGAATGCTGCTGACTGCTTTTTATATGTAATCCCGTTTCCAACGAAATCCTCAAATCTAGCCAAATAGCCACTTGCAGATTCCACAAAAAGAGTGTTTCAAAACTGTTCTGTCTAAAGAAATGTTCAACTGTGTTAGTTGAGGACACACATCAGAAACTAGTTTCTGAGAATGCTTCTGTCTAGTTGTTATGGGAAGATATTTCCTTTTCCAACGTAGGCCTGAAAGCGCTCCAAATGTCCACTTCCATATACTACAAAAAGAGTGTTTCAAACCTGCTCTACCAAAGGGAATGTTCTACTCTGTGACTTGAATGCAAGCATCCCAAAGAAGTTTCTGAGAATGCTTCTGTCTAGATTTTCTCTGAAGACAATCCCGTTTCCAACGAAATCCTCAAGGCTAGGCAAATATACTCTTGCAGATTCCAGAAAAAGAGTGTTTCAAAACTGCTCCTTCAAAACGGTGGTTCAATTCTCTTAGTTGAGTACACACATCTCAAATAAGTTTCTGAGAATGCTTCTGCCTAGTTGTTACGGGAAGATATTTCCCTTTCCAACATGGGCCTGAAAGCGCTCCAAATGTCCACTTCCAGATACTACAAAAAGAGTGTTTCAAACCTGCTCTACCAAAGGGAATGTTCTACTCTGTGACTTGAATGCAAACATCCCAAAGAAGTTTCTGAGAATGCTTCTGTCTAGATTTTACCTGAAGACAATCCCGTTTCCCACGAAATCCTCAAAGCTATGCAAATATCCTCTTGCAGATTCTACAAAAAGAGTGTTTCAAAACTGCTCTATGAAAAGAAAGGTTCAACTCTGTCAGTAGAGGGCACACATCACAAACAAGTTTCTGAGAATGCTTCTGCATAGTTGTTACGGGAAGATATTTCCCTTTCCAAAATAGGCCTGAAAGCGCTCCAAATGTCCACTTCCAGATACTACAAAAGGAGTGATTCCAACCTGCTCTATGATAGGGAATGTTCAACTCTGTGTCCTGAATACAAACATCACAAAGATGTTTCTCAGAACGCTGCAGTCTGCAATTTGTATGAATTCCCGCTTCCAACGAAATCCTCAAAACTAGCCAAATATCCACTTGCAGATTCCACAAAAAGTCCATTTCAAAACTGCTCTATCAAAAGAAAGGTTCAACTTTGTTAGTTGAGTAGATACAGCATAAACAAGATTCTGAGAATGCTTCTGTCCAGTTTTTATGGGAAGATATTTCCTTTTTCACCTTAGCCCTGAAATCGCTCCAAAAGTCCAGTTCCAGATACTACAAAAGGGGTGTTTCAAGACTGCTCTATGAAAGGGAGTGTTCAACTTTTGACTTGAATGCAAACATCAGAAAGCAGTTTCTCAGAACGCTGCTGTGTGCTTTTTATATGTATTCCCGCTTCCAGCGAAATCCCCAAAGCTAGCCAAATATCCACTTGCAGATTCCAGAAAAAGAGAGTTTCAAAACTGCTCCTTCAAAACGGTGGTTCAATTCTCTTAGTTGAGTACACACATCTCAAATAAGTTTCTGAGAATGCTTCTGTCTAGTTGTTATGGGAAGATATTTCCTTTTCCAACATAGGCCTGAAAGCGCTCCAAATGTCCACTTCCAGATACTACAAAAGGAGTGATTCCAACCTGCTCTATGATAGGGAATGTTCAACTCTGTGTCCTGAATACAAACATCACAAAGATGTTTCTCAGAACGCTGCAGTCTGCAATTTGTATGAATTCCCGCTTCCAACGAAATCCTCAAAACTAGCCAAATATCCACTTGCAGATTCCACAAAAAGAGCGTTTCAAAACTTCTCTATGAAAAGAAAGGTTCTACTCCTTTAGTTGAGGACACACATCACGAGTAAGTTTCTGAGAATGCTTCTGTCTAGTTTTTATGGGAAGATATTTCCTTTTTCACCTTAGGCCGGTAAGTGCTCCAAATGTCCACTTACACACACTACAAAAAGAGTCTTTCAAACCTGCTCTGTGAAAGGGAATGTTCAATTCTGTGACTTGAATGCAATCATCACAAAGAACTTTCTGAGAATGCTGCTGACTGCTTTTTATATGTAATCCCGTTTCCAAAGAAATCCTCAAATCTAGCCCAATATCCACTTGCAGATTCCACAAAAAGAGTGTTTCAAAACTGTTCTGTCTAAAGAAATGTACAACTGTGTCAGTTGAGGACACACATCAGAAACTAGTTTCTGAGAATGCTTCTGTCTAGTTGTTATGGGAAGATATTTCCTTTTCCAACGTAGGCCTGAAAGCGCTCCAAATGTCCACTTCCATATACTTAAAAAAGAGTGTTTCAAACCTGCTCTACCAAAGGGAATGTTCTACTCTGTGACATGAATGCAAACATCCCAAAGAAGTTTCTGAGAATGCTTCTGTCTAGATTTGATCTGAAGACAATCCCGTTTCCAACGAAATCCTCAAGGCTAGGCAAATATCCTCTTGCAGATTCCAGAAAAAGAGTGTTTCAAAACTGCTCCTTCAAAACGGTGGTTCAATTCTCTTAGTTGAGTACACACATCTCAAATAAGTTTCTGAGAATGCTTCTGCCTAGTTGTTACGGGAAGATATTTCCCTTTCCAACATAGGCCTGAAAGCGCTCCAAATGTCCACTTCCAGATACTACAAAAAGAGTGTTTCAAACCTGCTCTACCAAAGGGAATGTTCTGCTCTGTGACTTGAATGCAAACATCCCAAAGAAGTTTCTGAGAATGCTTCTGTCTAGATTTTACCTGAAGACAATCCCGTTTCCCACGAAATCCTCAAAGCTATGCAAATATCCTCTTGCAGATTCTACAAAAAGAGTGTTTCAAAACTGCTCTATGAAAAGAAAGGTTCAACTCTGTCAGTAGAGGGCACACATCACAAACAAGTTTCTGAGAATGCTTGTGTCTAGTTGTTATGGGAAGATATTTCCTTTTTCAACATAGGCCTGAAAGCGCTCCAAATGTCCACTTCCAGATACTACAAAAGGAGTGATTCCAACCTGCTCTATGATAGGGAATGTTCAACTCTCTGTCCTGAATACAAACATCACAAAGATGTTTCTCAGAACGCTGCAGTCTGCAATTTGTATGAATTCCCGCTTCCAGCGAAATCCTCAAAACTAGCCAAATATCCACTTGCAGATTCCACAAAAAGAGCATTTCAAAACTGCTCTATCAAAAGAAAGGTTCAACTTTGTTAGTTGAGTAGATACAGCATAAACAAGTTTCTGAGAATGCTTCTGTCCAGTTTTTATGGGAAGATATTTCCTTTTTCACCTTAGCCCTGAAAGCGCTCCAAAAGTCCAGTTCCAGATACTACAAAAGGAGTGTTTCAGGACTGCTCTATGAAAGGGAGTGTTCAACTTTTGACTTGAATGCAAACATCAGAAAGCAGTTTCTCAGAACGCTGCTGTGTGCTTTTTATATGTATTCCCGCTTCCAGCGAAATCCCCAAAGCTAGCCAAATATCCACTTGCAGATTCCAGAAAAAGAGTGTTTCAAAACTGCTCCTTCAAAACGGTGGTTCAATTCTCTTAGTTGAGTACACACATCTCAAATAAGTTTCTGAGAATGCTTCTGACTAGTTGTTATGGGAAGATATTTCCTTTTCCAACATAGGCCTGAAAGCGCTCCAAATGTCCACTTCCAGATACTACAAAAGGAGTGATTCAAACCTGCTCTATGATAGGGAATGTTCAACTCTGTGTCCTGAATACAAACATCACAAAGATGTTTCTCAGAAGGCTGCAGTCTGCAATTTGTATGAATTCCCGCTTCCAACGAAATCCTCAAAACTAGCCAAATATCCACTTGCAGATTCCACAAAAAGAGCGTTTCAAAACTTCTCTATGAAAAGAAAGGTTCTACTCCTTTAGTTGAGGACACACATCACGAGTAAGTTTCTGAGAATGCTTCTGTCTAGTTTTTATGGGAAGATATTTCCTTTTTCACCTTAGGCCGGTAAGTGCTCCAAATGTCCACTTACACACACTACAAAAAGAGTGTTTCAAACCTGCTCTGTGAAAGGGAATGTTCAATTCTGTGACTTGAATGCAATCATCACAAAGAACTTTCTGAGAATGCTGCTGACTGCTTTTTATATGTAATCCCGTTTCCAACGAAATCCTCAAATCTAGCCAAATAGCCACTTGCAGATTCCACAAAAAGAGTGTTTCAAAACTGTTCTGTCTATAGAAATGTTCAACTGTGTTAGTTGAGGGCACACATCAGAAACTAGTTTCTGAGAATGCTTTCTGTCTAGTTGTTATGGGAAGATATTTCCTTTTCCAACGTAGGCCTGAAAGCGATCAAAATGTCCACTTCCATATACTAAAAAAAGAGTGTTTCAAACCTGCTCTACCAAAGGGAATGTTCTACTCTGTGACTTGAATGCAAACATCCCAAAGAAGTTTCTGAGAATGCTTCTGTCTAGATTTTCTCTGAAGACAATCCCGTTTCCAACGAAATCCTCAAGGCTAGGCAAATATACTCTTGCAGATTCCAGAAAAAGAGTGTTTCAAAACTGCGCCTTCAAAACGGTGGTTCAATTCTCTTAGTTGAGTACACACATCTCAAATAAGTTTCTGAGAATGCTTCTGCCTAGTTGTTACGGGAAGATATTTCCCTTTCCAACATAGGCCTGAAAGCGCTCCAAATGTCCACTTCCAGATAATACAAAAAGAGTGTTTCAAACCTACTCTACCAAAGGGAATGTTCTACTCTGTGACTTGAATGCAAACATCCCAAAGAAGTTTCTGAGAATGCTTCTGTCTAGATTTTACCTGAAGACAATCCCGTTTCCCACGAAATCCTCAAAGCTATGCAAATATCCTCTTGCAGATTCTACAAAAAGAGCGTTTCAAAACTTCTCTATGAAAAGAAAGGTTCTACTCATTTAGTGGAGGACACACATCACGAGTAAGTTTCTCAGAATGCTTCTGTCTAGTTTTTATGGGAAGATATTTCCTTTTTCACCTTAGGCCGGAAAGTGCTCCAAATGTCCACTTCCAGATACTACAAAAGGAGTGATTCCAACCTGCTCTATGATAGGGAATGTTCAACTCTCTGTCCTGAATACAAACATCACAAAGATGTTTCTCAGAACGCTGCAGTCTGCAATTTGTATGAATTCCCGCTTCCAACGAAATCCTCAAAACTAGCCAAATATCCACTTGCAGATTCCACAAAAAGAGCATTTCAAAACTGCTCTATCAAAAGAAAGGTTCAACTTTGTTAGTTGAGTAGATACAGCATAAACAAGTTTCTGAGAATGCTTCTGTCCAGTTTTTATGGGAAGATATTTCCTTTTTCACCTTAGCCCTGAAAGCGCCCCAAATGTCCAGTTCCAGATACTACAAAAGGGGTGTTTCAAGACTGCTCTATGAAAGGGAGTGTTCAACTTTTGATTTGAATGCAAACATCAGAAAGCAGTTTCTCAGAACGCTGCTGTGTGTTTTTTATATGTATTCCCGCTTCCAGCGAAATCCCCAAAGCTAGCCAAATATCCACTTGCAGATTCCAGAAAAAGAGCGTTTCAAAACTGCTCCTTGAAAACGGTGGTTCAATTCTCTTAGTTGAGTACACCCATCTCAAATAAGTTTCTGAGAATGCTTCTGTCTATTTGTTATGGGAAGATATTTCCTTTTCCAACATAGGCCTGAAAGCGCTCCAAATGTCCACTTCCAGATACTAGAAAAGGAGTGATTCAAACCTGCTCTATGATAGGGAATGTTCAACTCTGTGTCCTGAATACAAACATCACAAAGATGTTTCTCAGAACGCTGCAGTCTGCAATTTGTATGAATTCCCGCTTCCAACGAAATCCTCCAAACTAGCCAAATATCCACTTGCAGATTCCACAAAAAGAGCGTTTCAAAACTTCTCTATGAAAAGAAAGGTTCTACTCCTTTAGTTGAGGACACACATCACGAGTAAGTTTCTGAGAATGCTTCTGTCTAGTTTTTATGGGAAGATTATTTCCTTTTTCACCTTAGGCCGGTAAGTGCTCCAAATGTCCACTTACACACACTACAAAAAGAGTGTTTCAAACCTGCTCTGTGAAAGGGAATGTTCAATTCTGTGACTTGAATGCAATCATCACAAAGAACTTTCTGAGAATGCCGCTGACTGCTTTTTATATGTAATCCCGTTTCCAACGAAATCCTCAAATCTAGCCAAATAGCCACTTGCAGATTCCACAAAAAGAGTGTTTCAAAACTGTTCTGTCTAAAGAAATGTTCAACTGTGTTAGTTGAGGACACACATCAGAAACTAGTTTCTGAGAATGCTTCTGTCTAGTTGTTATGGGAAGATATTTCCTTTTCCAACGTAGGCCTGAAAGCGCTCCAAATGTCCACTTCCAGATACTAAAAAAAGAGTGTTTCAAACCTGCTCTACCAAAGGGAATGTTCTACTCTGTGACTTGAATGCAAGCATCCCAAAGAAGTTTCTGAGAATGCTTCTGTCTAGATTTGATCTGAAGACAATCCCGTTTCCAACGGAAATCCTCAAAGCTAGGCAAATATACTCTTGCAGATTCCAGAAAAAGAGTGTTTCAAAACTGCTCCTTCAAAAGGGTGGTTCAATTCTCTTAGTTGAGTACACACATCTCAAATAAGTTTCCGAGAATGCTTCTGCCTAGTTGTTACGGGAAGATATTTCCCTTTCCAACATAGGCCTGAAAGCGCTCCAAATGTCCACTTCCAGATACTACAAAAAGAGTGTTTCAAACCTGCTCTACCAAAGGGAATGTTCTGCTCTGTGACTTGAATGCAAACATCCCAAAGAAGTTTCTGAGAATGCTTCTGTCTAGATTTTACCTGAAGACAATCCCGTTTCCCACGAAATCCTCAAAGCTATGCAAATATCCTCTTGCAGATTCTACAAAAAGAGTGTTTCAAAACTGCTCTATGAAAAGAAAGGTTCAACTCTGTCAGTAGAGGGCACACATCACAAACAAGTTTCTGAGAATGCTTGTGTCTAGTTGTTATGGGAAGATATTTCCTTTTTCAACATAGGCCTGAAAGCGCTCCAAATGTCCACTTCCAGATACTACAAAAGGAGTGATTCCAACCTGCTCTATGATAGGGAATGTTCAACTCTGTGTCCTGAATACAAACATCACAAAGATGTTTCTCAGAACGCTGCAGTCTGCAATTTGTATGAATTCCAGCTTCCAACGAAATCCTCAAAACTAGCCAAATATCCACTTGCAGATTCCACAAAAAGAGCATTTCAAAACTGCTCTATCAAAAGAAAGGTTCAACTTTGTTAGTAGAGTAGATACAGCGTAAACAAGTTTCTGAGAATGCTTCTGTCCAGTTTTTATGGGAAGATATTTCCTTTTTCACCTTAGCCCTGAAAGCGCTCCAAATGTCCAGTTCCAGATACTACAAAAGGGGTGTTTCAAGACTGCTCTATGAAAGGGAGTGTTCAACTTTTGACTTGAATGCAAACATCAGAAAGCTGTTTCTCAGAACGCTTCTGTCCAGTTTTTATGGGAAGATATTTCCTTTTTCACCTTAGCCCTGAAAGCGCTCCAAAAGTCCAGTTCCAGATACTACAAAAGGAGTGTTTCAGGACTGCTCTATGAAAGGGAGTGTTCAACTTTTGACTTGAATGCAAACATCAGAAAGCAGTTTCTCAGAACGCTGCTGTGTGCTTTTTATATGTATTCCCGCTTCCAGCGAATTCCCCAAAGCTAGCCAAATATCCACTTGCAGATTCCAGAAAAAGAGTGTTTCAAAACTGCTCCTTCAAAACGGTGGTTCAATTCTCTTAGTTGAGTACACACATCTCAAATAAGTTTCTGAGAATGCTTCTGTCTAGTTGTTATGGGAAGATATTTCCTTTTCCAACATAGGCCTGAAAGCGCTCCAAATGTCCACTTCCAGATACTACAAAAGGAGTGATTCCAACCTGCTCTATGATAGGGAATGTTCAACTCAGTGTCCTGAATACAAACATCACAAAGATGTTTCTCAGAACGCTGCAGTCTGCAATTTGTATGAATTCCCGCTTCCAACGAAATCCTCCAAACTAGCCAAATATCCACTTGCAGATTCCACAAAAAGAGCGTTTCAAAACTTCTCTATGAAAAGAAAGGTTCTACTCCTTTAGTTGAGGACACACATCACGAGTAAGTTTCTGAGAATGCTTCTGTCTAGTTTTTATGGGAAGATATTTCCTTTTTCACCTTAGGCCGGAAAGTGCTCCAAATGTCCACTTACACACACTACAAAAAGAGTGTTTCAAACCTGCTCTGTGAAAGGGAATGTTCAATTCTGTGACTTGAATGCAATCATCACAAAGAACTTTCTGAGAATGCTGCTGTCTGCTTTTTATATGTAATCCCGTTTCCAACGAAATCCTCAAATCTAGCCAAATATCCACTTGCAGATTCCACAAAAAGAGAGTTTCAAAACTGTTCTGTCTAAAGAAATGTTCAACTGTGTTAGTTGAGGACACACATCAGAAACTAGTTTCTGAGAATGCTTCTGTCTAGTTGTTATGGGAAGATATTTCCTTTTCCAACGTAGGCCTGAAAGCGCTCCAAATGTCCACTTCCATATACTAAAAAAAGAGTGTTTCAAACCTGCTCTACCAAAGGGAATGTTCTACTCTGTGACTTGAATGCAAACATCCCAAAGAAGTTTCTGAGAATGCTTCTGTCTAGATTTTACCTGAAGACAATCCCGTTTCCCACGAAATCCTCAAAGCTATGCAAATATCCTCTTGCAGATTCTACAAAAAGAGTGTTTCAAAACTGCTCTATGAAAAGAAAGGTTCAACTCTGTCAGTAGAGGGCACACATCACAAACAAGTTTCTGAGAATGCTTGTGTCTAGTTGTTATGGGAAGATATTTCCTTTTTCAACATAGGCCTGAAAGCGCTCCAAATGTCCACTTCCAGATACTACAAAAGGAGTGATTCCAACCTGCTCTATGATAGGGAATGTTCAACTCTGTGTCCTGAATACAAACATCACAAAGATGTTTCTCAGAACGCTGCAGTCTGCAATTTGTATGTATTCCAGCTTCCAACGAAATCCTCAAATCTAGCCAAATATCCACTTGCAGATTCCACAAAAAGAGCATTTCAAAACTGCTCTATCAAAAGAAAGGTTCAACTTTTTTAGTAGAGTAGATACAGCATGAACAAGTTTCTGAGAATGCTTCTGTCCAGTTTTTATGGGAAGATATTTCCTTTTTCACCTTAGCCCTGAAATCGCTCCAAAAGTCCAGTTCCAGATACTACAAAAGGGGTGTTTCAGGACTGCTCTATGAAAGGGAGTGTTCAACTTTTGACTTGAATGCAAACATCAGAAAGCAGTTTCTCAGAACGCTGCTGTGTGCTTTTTATATGTATTCCCGCTTCCAGCGAAATCCCCAAAGCTAGCCAAATATCCACTTGCAGATTCCAGAAAAAGAGTGTTTCAAAACTGCTCCTTCAAAACGGTGGTTCAATTCTCTTAGTTGAGTACACACATCTCAAATAAGTTTCTGAGAATGCTTCTGTCTAGTTGTTATGGGAAGATATTTCCTTTTGCAACATAGGCCTGAAAGCGCTCCAAATGTCCACTTCCAGATACTACAAAAGGAGTGATTCCAACCTGCTCTATGATAGGGAATGTTCAACTCTGTGTCCTGAATACAAACATCACAAAGATGTTTCTCAGAACGCTGCAGTCTGCAATTTGTATGAATTCCCGCTTCCAACGAAATCCTCAAAACTAGCCAAATATCC
This sequence comes from Homo sapiens, assembly GCF_000001405.40. NCBI lineage: Eukaryota > Metazoa > Chordata > Mammalia > Primates > Hominidae > Homo > Homo sapiens. Next base: position 16,406,587 of record NC_000018.10, on the reverse strand, counting down.
ACTTGCAGATTCCACAAAAAGAGCGTTTCAAAACTTCTCTATGAAAAGAAAGGTTCTACTCCTTTAGTTGAGGACACACATCACGAGTAAGTTTCTGAGAATGCTTCTGTCTAGTATTTATGGGAAGATATGTCCTTTTTCACCTTAGGCCGGAAAGCACTCCAAATGTCCACTTACACACACTACAAAAAGAGTGTTTCAAACCTGCTCTGTGAAAGGGAATGTTCAATTCTGTGACTTGAATGCAATCATCACAAAGAACTTTCTGAGAATGCTGCTGACTGCTTTTTATATGTAATCCCGTTTCCAACGAAATCCTCAAATCTAGCCCAATATCCACTTGCAGATTCCACAAAAAGAGTGTTTCAAAACTGTTCTGTCTAAAGAAATGTACAACTGTGTTAGTTGAGGACACACATCAGAAACTAGTTTCTGAGAATGCTTCTGTCTAGTTGTTATGGGAAGATATTTCCTTTTCCAACGTAGGCCTGAAAGCGCTCCAAATGTCCACTTCCATATACTAAAAAAAGAGTGTTTCAAACCTGCTCTACCAAAGGGAATGTTCTACTCTGTGACTTGAATGCAAACATCCCAAAGAAGTTTCTGAGAATGCTTCTGTCTAGATTTTATCTGAAGACAATCCCGTTTCCAACGAAATCCTCAAGGCTAGGCAAATATACTCTTGCAGATTCCAGAAAAAGAGTGTTTCAAAACTGCTCCTTCAAAACGGTGGTTCAATTCTCTTAGTTGAGTACACACATCTCAAATAAGTTTCTGAGAATGCTTCTGCCTAGTTGTTACGGGAAGATATTTCCCTTTCCAACATGGGCCTGAAAGCGCTCCAAATGTCCACTTCCAGATACTACAAAAAGAGTGTTTCAAACCTGCTCTACCAAAGGGAATGTTCTACTCTGTGACTTGAATGCAAACATCCCAAAGGAGTTTCTGAGAATGCTTCTGTCTAGATTTTACCTGAAGACAATCCCGTTTCCCACGAAATCCTCAAAGCTATGCAAATATCCTCTTGCGGATTCTACAAAAAGAGTGTTTCAAAACTGCTCTATGAAAAGAAAGGTTCAACTCTGTCAGTAGAGGGCACACATCACAAACAAGTTTCTGAGAATGCTTGTGTCTAGTTGTTATGGGAAGATATTTCCTTTTTCAACATAGGCCTGAAAGCGCTCCAAATGTCCACTTCCAGATACTACAAAAGGAGTGATTCCAACATGCTCTATGAGAGGGAATGTTCATCTCTGTGTCTTGAATACAAACATCACAAAGATGTTTCTCAGAACGCTGCAGTCTGCAATTTGTATGAATTCCCGCTTCCAACGAAATCCTCAAAACTAGCCAAATATCCACTTGGAGATTCCACAAAAAGAGCGTTTCAAAACTTCTCTATGAATAGAAAGGTTCTACTCCTTTAGTTGAGGACACACATCACGAGTAAGTTTCTGAGAATGCTTCTGTCTAGTTTTTATGGGAAGATATTTCCTTTTTCACCTTAGGCCGGAAAGCGCTCCAAATGTCCACTTACACACACTACAAAAAGCATGTTTCAAACCTGCTCTGTGAAAGGGAATGTTCAATTCGGTGACTTGAATGCAATCATCACAAAGAACTTTCTGAGAATGCTGCTGTCTGCTTTTTATATGTAATCCCGTTTCCAACGAAATCCTCAAATCTAGCCAAATATCCACTTGCAGATTCCACAAAAAGAGTGTTTCAAAACTGTTCTGTCTAAAGAAAAGTTCAACTGTGTTAGTTGAGGACACACATCAGAAACTAGTTTCTGAGAATGCTTCTGTCTAGTTGTTATGGGAAGATATTTCCTTTTCCAACGTAGGCCTGAAAGCGCTCCAAATGTCCACTTCCATATACTAAAAAAAGAGTGTTTCAAACCTGCTCTACCAAAGGGAATGTTCTACTCTGTGACTTGAATGCAAACATCCCAAAGAAGTTTCTGAGAATGCTTCTGTCTAGATTTTATCTGAAGACAATCCCGTTTCCAACGAAATCCTCAAGGCTAGGCAAATATACTCTTGCAGATTCCAGAAAAAGAGTGTTTCAAAACTGCTCCTTCAAAACGGTGGTTCAATTCTCTTAGTTGAGTACACACATCTCAAATAAGTTTCTGAGAATGCTTCTGCCTAGTTGTTACGGGAAGATATTTCCCTTTCCAACATGGGCCTGAAAGCGCTCCAAATGTCCACTTCCAGATACTACAAAAAGAGGGTTTCAAACCTGCTCTACCAAAGGGAATGTTCTACTCTGTGACTTGAATGCAAACATCCCAAAGAAGTTTCTGAGAATGCTTCTGTCTAGATTTTACCTGAAGACACTCCCGTTTCCCACGAAATCCTCAAAGCTATGCAAATATCCTCTTGCAGATTCTACAAAAAGAGTGTTTCAAAACTGCTCTATGAAAAGAAAGGTTCAACTCTGTCAGTAGAGGGCACACATCACAAACAAGTTTCTGAGAATGCTTGTGTCTAGTTGTTATGGGAAGATATTTCCTTTTTCAACATAGGCCTGAAAGCGCTCCAAATGTCCACTTCCAGATACTACAAAAGGAGTGATTCCAACCTGCTCTATGATAGGGAATGTTCATCTCTGTGTCCTGAATACAAACATCACAAAGATGTTTCTCAGAACGCTGCAGTCTGCAATTTGGATGAATTCCCGCTTCCTACGAAATCCTCAACACTAGCCAAATATCCACTTGGAGATTCCACAAAAAGAGCGTTTCAAAACTTCTCTATGAATAGAAAGGTTCTACTCCTTTAGTTGAGGACACACATCACGAGTAAGTTTCTGAGAATGCTTCTGTCTAGTTTTTATGGGAAGATATGTCCTTTTTCACCTTAGGCCGGAAAGCGCTCCAAATGTCCACTTACACACACTACAAAAAGAGTGTTTCAAACCTGCTCTGTGAAAGGGAATGTTCAATTCTGTGACTTGAATGCAATCATCACAAAGAACTTTCTGAGAATGCTGCTGTCTGCTTTTTATATGTAATCCCGTTTCCAACGAAATCCTCAAATCTAGCCAAATATCCACTTGCAGATTCCACAAAAAGAGTGTTTCAAAACTGTTCTGTCTAAAGAAAAGTTCAACTGTGTTAGTTGAGGACACACATCAGAAACTAGTTTCGGAGAATGCTTCTGTGTAGTTGTTATGGGAAGATATTTCCTTTTCCAACGTAGGCCTGAAAGCGCTCCAAATGTCCATTTCCATATACTAAAAAAAGAGTGTTTCAAACCTGCTCTACCAAAGGGAATGTTCTACTCTGTGACTTGAATACAAACATCCCAAAGAAGTTTCTGAGAATGCTTCTGTCTAGATTTTATCTGAAGACAATCCCGTTTCCAACGAAATCCTCAAAGCTAGGCAAATATGCTCTAGCAGATTCCAGAAAAAGAGTGTTTCAAAACTGCTCCTTCAAAACGGTGGTTCAATTCTCTTAGTTGAGTACACACATCTCAAATAAGTTTCAGAGAATGCTTCTGCCTAGTTGTTACGGGAAGATATTTCCCTTTCCAAAATAGGCCTGAAAGCGCTCCAAATGTCCACTTCCAGATACTGCAAAAGGAGTGATTCCAACCTGCTCTATGATAGGGAAAGTTCAACTCTGTGTCCTGAATACAAACATCACAAAGATGTTTCTCAGAACGCTGCAGTCTGCAATTTGCATGAATTCCAGCTTCCAACGAAATCCTCAAAACTAGCCAAATATCCACTTGCAGATTCCACAAAGAGAGCATTTCAAAACTGCTCTATCAAAAGAAAGGTTCAACTTTGTTAGTAGAGTAGATACAGCATAAACAAGTTTCTGAGAATGCTTCTGTCCAGTTTTTATGGGAAGATATTTCCTTTTTCACCTTAGCCCTGAAAGCGCTCCAAATGTCCAGTTCCAGATACTACAAAAGGGGTGTTTCAAGACTGCTCTATGAAAGGGAGTGTTCAACTTTTGACTTGAATGCAAACATCAGAAAGCAGTTTCTCAGAACGCTGCTGTGTGCTTTTTATATGTATTCCCGCTTCCAGCGAAATCCCCAAAGCTAGCCAAATATCCACTTGCAGATTCCAGAAAAAGAGTGTTTCAAAACTGCTCCTTCAAAACGGTGGTTCAATTCTCTTAGTTGAGTACACACATCTCAAATAAGTTTCTGAGAATGCTTCTGTCTAGTTGTTATGGGAAGATATTTCCTTTTCCAACATAGGCCTGAAAGCGCTCCAAATGTCCACTTCCAGATACTACAAAAGGAGTGATTCAAACCTGCTCGATGATAGGGAATGTTCAACTCTGTGTCCTGAATACAAACATCACAAAGATGTTTCTCAGAACGCTGCAGTCTGCAATTTGTATGAATTCCCGCTTCCAACGAAATCCTCAAAACTAGCCAAATATCCACTTGCAGATTCCACAAAAAGAGCGTTTCAAAACTTCTCTATGAAAAGAAAGGTTCTACTCCTTTAGTTGAGGACACACATCACGAGTAAGTTTCTGAGAATGCTTCTGTCTAGTTTTTATGGGAAGATATTTCCTTTTTCACCTTAGGCCGGTAAGTGCTCCAAATGTCCACTTACACACACTACAAAAAGAGTGTTTCAAACCTGCTCTGTGAAAGGGAATGTTCAATTCTGTGACTTGAATGCAATCATCACAAAGAACTTTCTGAGAATGCTGCTGACTGCTTTTTATATGTAATCCCGTTTCCAACGAAATCCTCAAATCTAGCCAAATAGCCACTTGCAGATTCCACAAAAAGAGTGTTTCAAAACTGTTCTGTCTAAAGAAATGTTCAACTGTGTTAGTTGAGGACACACATCAGAAACTAGTTTCTGAGAATGCTTCTGTCTAGTTGTTATGGGAAGATATTTCCTTTTCCAACGTAGGCCTGAAAGCGCTCCAAATGTCCACTTCCATATACTACAAAAAGAGTGTTTCAAACCTGCTCTACCAAAGGGAATGTTCTACTCTGTGACTTGAATGCAAACATCCCAAAGAAGTTTCTGAGAATGCTTCTGTCTAGATTTTCTCTGAAGACAATCCCGTTTCCAACGAAATCCTCAAGGCTAGGCAAATATACTCTTGCAGATTCCAGAAAAAGAGTGTTTCAAAACTGCTCCTTCAAAACGGTGGTTCAATTCTCTTAGTTGAGTACACACATCTCAAATAAGTTTCTGAGAATGCTTCTGCCTAGTTGTTACGGGAAGATATTTCCCTTTCCAACATGGGCCTGAAAGCGCTCCAAATGTCCACTTCCAGATACTACAAAAAGAGTGTTTCAAACCTGCTCTACCAAAGGGAATGTTCTACTCTGTGACTTGAATGCAAACATCCCAAAGAAGTTTCTGAGAATGCTTCTGTCTAGATTTTACCTGAAGACAATCCCGTTTCCCACGAAATCCTCAAAGCTATGCAAATATCCTCTTGCAGATTCTACAAAAAGAGTGTTTCAAAACTGCTCTATGAAAAGAAAGGTTCAACTCTGTCAGTAGAGGGCACACATCACAAACAAGTTTCTGAGAATGCTTCTGCATAGTTGTTACGGGAAGATATTTCCCTTTCCAAAATAGGCCTGAAAGCGCTCCAAATGTCCACTTCCAGATACTACAAAAGGAGTGATTCCAACCTGCTCTATGATAGGGAATGTTCAACTCTGTGTCCTGAATACAAACATCACAAAGATGTTTCTCAGAACGCTGCAGTCTGCAATTTGTATGAATTCCCGCTTCCAACGAAATCCTCAAAACTAGCCAAATATCCACTTGCAGATTCCACAAAAAGACCATTTCAAAACTGCTCTATCAAAAGAAAGGTTCAACTTTGTTAGTTGAGTAGATACAGCATAACCAAGTTTCTGAGAATGCTTCTGTCCAGTTTTTATGGGAAGATATTTCCTTTTTCACCTTAGCCCTGAAATCGCTCCAAAAGTCCAGTTCCAGATACTACAAAAGGGGTGTTTCAAGACTGCTCTATGAAAGGGAGTGTTCAACTTTTGACTTGAATGCAAACATCAGAAAGCAGTTTCTCAGAACGCTGCTGTGTGCTTTTTATATGTATTCCCGCTTCCAGCGAAATCCCCAAAGCTAGCCAAATATCCACTTGCAGATTCCAGAAAAAGAGAGTTTCAAAACTGCTCCTTCAAAACGGTGGTTCAATTCTCTTAGTTGAGTACACACATCTCAAATAAGTTTCTGAGAATGCTTCTGTCTAGTTGTTATGGGAAGATATTTCCTTTTCCAACATAGGCCTGAAAGCGCTCCAAATGTCCACTTCCAGATACTACAAAAGGAGTGATTCAAACCTGCTCTATGATAGGGAATGTTCAACTCTGTGTCCTGAATACAAACATCACAAAGATGTTTCTCAGAACGCTGCAGTCTGCAATTTGTATGAATTCCCGCTTCCAACGAAATCCTCAAAACTAGCCAAATATCCACTTGCAGATTCCACAAAAAGAGCGTTTCAAAACTTCTCTATGAAAAGAAAGGTTCTACTCCTTTAGTTGAGGACACACATCACGAGTAAGTTTCTGAGAATGCTTCTGTCTAGTTTTTATGGGAAGATATTTCCTTTTTCACCTTAGGCCGGAAAGTGCTCCAAATGTCCACTTACACACACTACAAAAAGAGTGTTTCAAACCTGCTCTGTGAAAGGGAATGTTCAATTCTGTGACTTGAATGCAATCATCACAAAGAACTTTCTGAGAATGGTGCTGTCTGCTTTTTATATGTAATCCCGTTTCCAACGAAATCCTCAAATCTAGCCAAATAGCCACTTGCAGATTCCACAAAAAGAGAGTTTCAAAACTGTTCTGTCTAAAGAAATGTTCAACTGTGTTAGTTGAGGACACACATCAGAAACTAGTTTCTGAGAATGCTTCTGTCTAGTTGTTATGGGAAGATATTTCCTTTTCCAACGTAGGCCTGAAAGCGCTCCAAATGTCCACTTCCATATACTAAAAAAAGAGTGTTTCAAACCTGCTCTACCAAAGGGAATGTTCTACTCTGTGACTTGAATGCAAACATCCCAAAGAAGTTTCTGAGAATGCTTCTGTCTAGATTTGATCTGAAGACAATCCCGTTTCCAACGAAATCCTCAAGGCTAGGCAAATATCCTCTTGCAGATTCCAGAAAAAGAGTGTTTCCAAACTGCTCCTTCAAAACGGTGGTTCAATTCTCTTAGTTGAGTACACACATCTCAAATAAGTTTCTGAGAATGCTTCTGCCTAGTTGTTACGGGAAGATATTTCCCTTTCCAACATAGGCCTGAAAGCGCTCCAAATGTCCACTTCCAGATACTACAAAAAGAGTGTTTCAAACCTGCTCTACCAAAGGGAATGTTCTACTCTGTGACTTGAATGCAAACATCCCAAAGAAGTTTCTGAGAATGCTTCTGTCTAGTATTTTACCTGAAGACAATCCCGTTTCCCACGAAATCCTCAAAGCTATGCAAATATCCTCTTGCGGATTCTACAAAAAGAGTGTTTCAAAACTGCTCTATGAAAAGAAAGGTTCAACTCTGTCAGTAGAGGGCACACATCACAAACAAGTTTCTGAGAATGCTTCTGCATAGTTGTTACGGGAAGATATTTCCCTTTCCAAAATAGGCCTGAAAGCGCTCCAAATGTCCACTTCCAGATACTACAAAAGGAGTGATTCCAACCTGCTCTATGATAGGGAATGTTCAACTCTGTGTCCTGAATACAAACATCACAAAGATGTTTCTCAGAACGCTGCAGTCTGCAATTTGTATGAATTCCCGCTTCCAACGAAATCCTCAAAACTAGCCAAATATCCACTTGCAGATTCCACAAAAAGACCATTTCAAAACTGCTCTATCAAAAGAAAGGTTCAACTTTGTTAGTTGAGTAGATACAGCATAAACAAGTTTCTGAGAATGCTTCTGTCCAGTTTTTATGGGAAGATATTTCCTTTTTCACCTTAGCCCTGAAATCGCTCCAAAAGTCCAGTTCCAGATACTACAAAAGGGGTGTTTCAAGACTGCTCTATGAAAGGGAGTGTTCAACTTTTGACTTGAATGCAAACATCAGAAAGCAGTTTCTCAGAACGCTGCTGTGTGCTTTTTATATGTATTCCCGCTTCCAGCGAAATCCCCAAAGCTAGCCAAATATCCACTTGCAGATTCCAGAAAAAGAGTGTTTCAAAACTGCTCCTTCAAAACGGTGGTTCAATTCTCTTAGTTGAGTACACACATCTCAAATAAGTTTCTGAGAATGCTTCTGTCTAGTTGTTATGGGAAGATATTTCCTTTTCCAACATAGGCCTGAAAGCGCTCCAAATGTCCACTTCCAGATACTACAAAAGGAGTGATTCCAACCTGCTCTATGATAGGGAATGTTCAACTCTGTGTCCTGAATACAAACATCACAAAGATGTTTCTCAGAACGCTGCAGTCTGCAATTTGTATGAATTCCCGCTTCCAACGAAATCCTCAAAACTAGCCAAATATCCACTTGCAGATTCCACAAAAAGAGCGTTTCAAAACTTCTCTATGAAAAGAAAGGTTCTACTCCTTTAGTTGAGGACACACATCACGAGTAAGTTTCTGAGAATGCTTCTGTCTAGTTTTTATGGGAAGATATTTCCTTTTTCACCTTAGGCCGGTAAGTGCTCCAAATGTCCACTTACACACACTACAAAAAGAGTGTTTCAAACCTGCTCTGTGAAAGGGAATGTTCAATTCTGTGACTTGAATGCAATCATCACAAAGAACTTTCTGAGAATGCTGCTGACTGCTTTTTATATGTAATCCCGTTTCCAACGAAATCCTCAAATCTAGCCAAATAGCCACTTGCAGATTCCACAAAAAGAGTGTTTCAAAACTGTTCTGTCTAAAGAAATGTTCAACTGTGTTAGTTGAGGACACACATCAGAAACTAGTTTCTGAGAATGCTTCTGTCTAGTTGTTATGGGAAGATATTTCCTTTTCCAACGTAGGCCTGAAAGCGCTCCAAATGTCCACTTCCAGATACTACAAAAAGAGTGTTTCAAACCTGCTCTACCAAAGGGAATGTTCTACTCTGTGACTTGAATGCAAACATCCCAAAGAAGTTTCTGAGAATGCTTCTGTCTAGATTTTCTCTGAAGACAATCCCGTTTCCAACGAAATCCTCAAGGCTAGGCAAATATACTCTTGCAGATTCCAGAAAAAGAGTGTTTCAAAACTGCTCCTTCAAAACGGTGGTTCAATTCTCTTAGTTGAGTACACACATCTCAAATAAGTTTCTGAGAATGCTTCTGCCTAGTTGTTACGGGAAGATATTTCCCTTTCCAACATGGGCCTGAAAGCGCTCCAAATGTCCACTTCCAGATACTACAAAAAGAGTGTTTCAAACCTGCTCTACCAAAGGGAATGTTCTACTCTGTGACTTGAATGCAAACATCCCAAAGAAGTTTCTGAGAATGCTTCTGTCTAGATTTTACCTGAAGACAATCCCGTTTCCCACGAAATCCTCAAAGCTATGCAAATATCCTCTTGCAGATTCTACAAAAAGAGTGTTTCAAAACTGCTCTATGAAAAGAAAGGTTCAACTCTGTCAGTACAGGGTACACATCACAAACAAGTTTCTGAGAATGCTTGTGTCTAGTTGTTATGGGAAGATATTTCCTTTTTCAACATAGGCCTGAAAGCGCTCCAAATGTCCACTTCCAGATACTACAAAAGGAGTGATTCCAACCTGCTCTATGATAGGGAATGTTCCTCTCTGTGTCCTGAATACAAACATCACAAAGATGTTTCTCATAACGCTGCAGTCTGCAATTTGTATGAATTCCCGCTTCCAACGAAATCCTCAAAACTAGCCAAATATCCACTTGGAGATTCCACAAAAAGAGCGTTTGAAAACTTCTCTATGAATAGAAAGGTTCTACTCCTTTAGTTGAGGACACACATCACGAGTAAGTTTCTGAGAATGCTTCTGTCTAGTTTTTATGGGAAGATATTTCCTTTTTCACCTTAGGCCGGAAAGTGCTCCAAATGTCCACTTACACACACTACAAAAAGAGTGTTTCAAACCAGCCCTGTGAAAGGGAATGTTCAATTCTGTGACTTGAATGCAATCATCACAAAGAACTTTCTGAGAATGCTGCTGTCTGCTTTTTATATGTAATCCCGTTTCCAACGAAATCCTCAAATCTAGCCAAATAGCCACTTGCAGATTCCACAAAAAGAGTGTTTCAAAACTGTTCTGTCTAAAGAAATGTTCAACTGTGTTAGTTGAGGACACACATCAGAAACTAGTTTCTGAGAATGCTTCTGTCTAGTTGTTATGGGAAGATATTTCCTTTTCCAACGTAGGCCTGAAAGCGCTCCAAATGTCCACTTCCATATACTAAAAAAAGAGTGTTTCACACCTGCTCTACCAAAGGGAATGTTCTACTCTGTGACTTGAATGCAAACATCCCAAAGAAGTTTCTGAGAATGCTTCTGTCTAGATTTGATCTGAACACAATCCCGTTTCCAACGAAATCCTCAAAGCTAGGCAAATATCCTCTTGCAGATTCCAGAAAAAGAGTGTTTCAAAACTGCTCCTTCAAAACGGTGGTTCAATTCTCTTAGTTGAGTACACACATCTCAAATAAGTTTCTTAGAATGCTTCTGCCTAGTTGTTACCGGAAGATATTTCCCTTTCCAACATAGGCCTGAAAGCGCTCCAAATGTCCACTTCCAGATACTACAAAAAGAGTGTTTCAAACCTGCTCTACCAAAGGGAATGTTCTACTCTGTGACTTGAATGCAAACATCCCAAAGAAGTTTCTGAGAATGCTTCTGTCTAGATTTTACCTGAAGACAATCCCGTTTCCCACGAAATCCTCAAAGCTATGCAAATATCCTCTTGCAGATTCTACAAAAAGAGTGTTTCAAAACTGCTCTATGAAAAGAAAGGTTCAACTCTGTCAGTAGAGGGCACACATCACAAACAAGTTTCTGAGAATGCTTGTGTCTAGTTGTTATGGGAAGATATTTCCTTTTTCAACATAGGCCTGAAAGCGCTCCAAATGTCCACTTCCAGATACTACAAAAGGAGTGATTCCAACCTGCTCTATGATAGGGAATGTTCAACTCTCTGTCCTGAATACAAACATCACAAAGATGTTTCTCAGAACGCTGCAGTCTGCAATTTGTATGAATTCCCGCTTCCAACGAAATCCTCAAAACTAGCCAAATATCCACTTGCAGATTCCACAAAAAGAGCATTTCAAAACTGCTCTATCAAAAGAAAGGTTCAACTTTGTTAGTTGAGTAGATACAGCATAAACAAGTTTCTGAGAATGCTTCTGTCCAGTTTTTATGGGAAGATATTTCCTTTTTCACCTTAGCCCTGAAAGCGCTCCAAAAGTCCAGTTCCAGATACTACAAAAGGAGTGTTTCAGGACTGCTCTATGAAAGGGAGTGTTCAACTTTTGACTTGAATGCAAACATCAGAAAGCAGTTTCTCAGAACGCTGCTGTGTGCTTTTTATATGTATTCCCGCTTCCAGCGAAATCCCCAAAGCTAGCCAAATATCCACTTGCAGATTCCAGAAAAAGAGTGTTTCAAAACTGCTCCTTCAAAACGGTGGTTCAATTCTCTTAGTTGAGTACACACATCTCAAATAAGTTTCTGAGAATGCTTCTGTCTAGTTGTTATGGGAAGATATTTCCTTTTCCAACATAGGCCTGAAAGCGCTCCAAATGTCCACTTCCAGATACTACAAAAGGAGTGATTCCAACCTGCTCTATGATAGGGAATGTTCAACTCTGTGTCCTGAATACAAACATCACAAAGATGTTTCTCAGAACGCTGCAGTCTGCAATTTGTATGAATTCCCGCTTCCAACGAAATCCTCCAAACTAGCCAAATATCCACTTGCAGATTCCACAAAAAGAACGTTTCCAAACTTCTCTATGAAAACAAAGGTTCTACTCCTTTAGTTGAGGACACACATCACGAGTAAGTTTCTGAGAATGCTTTCTGTCTAGTTTTTATGGGAAGATATTTCCTTTTCCACCTTAGGCCAGAAAGCTCTCCAAATGTCCACTTACACACACTACAAAAAGAATGTTTCAAACCTGCTCTGTGAAAGGGAATTTTCAATTCTGTGACTTGAATGCAATCATCACAAAGAACTATCTGAGAATGCTGCTGACTGCTTTTTATATGTAATCCCGTTTCCAACGAAATCCTCAAATCTAGCCAAATATCCACTTGCAGATTCCACAAAAAGAGTGTTTCATAACTGTTCTGTCTAAAGAAATGTACAACTGTGTTAGTTGAGGACACACATCAGAAACTAGTTTCTGAGAATGCTTCGGTCTAGTTGTTATGGGAAGATATTTCCTTCTCCAACGTAGGCCTGAAAGCGCTCCAAATGTCCACTTCCATATACTAAAAAAAGATTGTTTCAAACCTGCTCTACCAAAGGGAATGTTCTACTCTGTGACTTGAATGCAAACATCCCAAAGAAGTTTCTGAGAATGCTTCTGTCTAGATTTTATCTGAAGACAATCCCGTTTCCAACGAAATCCTCAAGGCTAGGCAAATATACTCTTGCAGATTACAGAAAAAGAGTGTTTCAAAACTGCTCCTTCAAAACGGTGGTTCAATTCTCTTAGTTGAGTACACACATCTCAAATATGTTTCTGAGAATGCTTCTGCCTAGTTGTTACGGGAAGATATTTCCCTTTCCAACATGGGCCTGAAAGCGCTCCAAATGTCCACTTCCAGATACTACAAAAAGAGTGTTTCAAACCTGCTCTACCAAAGGGAATGTTCTACTCTGTGACTTGAATGCAAACATCCCAAAGAAGTTTCTGAGAATGCTTCTGTCTAGATTTTACCTGAAGACAATCCCGTTTCCCACGAAATCCTCAAAGCTATGCAAATATCCTCTTGCAGATTCTACAAAAAGAGTGTTTCAAAACTGCTCTATGAAAAGAAAGGTTCAACTCTGTCAGTAGAGGGCACACATCACAAACAAGTTTCTGAGAATGCTTGTGTCTAGTTGTTATGGGAAGATATTTCCTTTTTCAACATAGGCCTGAAAGCGCTCCAAATGTCGACTTCCAGATACTACAAAAGGAGTGATTCCAACCTGCTCTATGATAGGGAATGTTCATCTCTGTGTCCTGAATACAAACATCACAAAGATGTTTCTCAGAACGCTGCAGTCTGCAATTTGTATGAATTCCCGCTTCCAACGAAATCCTCAAAACTAGCCAAATATCCACTTGCAGATTCCACAAAAAGACCATTTCAAAACTGCTCTATCAAAAGAAAGGTTCAACTTTGTTAGTTGAGTAGATACAGCATAACCAAGTTTCTGAGAATGCTTCTGTCCAGTTTTTATGGGAAGATATTTCCTTTTTCACCTTAGCCCTGAAATCGCTCCAAAAGTCCAGTTCCAGATACTACAAAAGGGGTGTTTCAAGACTGCTCTATGAAAGGGAGTGTTCAACTTTTGACTTGAATGCAAACATCAGAAAGCAGTTTCTCAGAACGCTGCTGTGTGCTTTTTATATGTATTCCCGCTTCCAGCGAAATCCCCAAAGCTAGCCAAATATCCACTTGCAGATTCCAGAAAAAGAGAGTTTCAAAACTGCTCCTTCAAAACGGTGGTTCAATTCTCTTAGTTGAGTACACACATCTCAAATAAGTTTCTGAGAATGCTTCTGTCTAGTTGTTATGGGAAGATATTTCCTTTTCCAACATAGGCCTGAAAGCGCTCCAAATGTCCACTTCCAGATACTACAAAAGGAGTGATTCCAACCTGCTCTATGATAGGGAATGTTCAACTCTGTGTCCTGAATACAAACATCACAAAGATGTTTCTCAGAACGCTGCAGTCTGCAATTTGTATGAATTCCCGCTTCCAACGAAATCCTCAAAACTAGCCAAATATCCACTTGCAGATTCCACAAAAAGAGCGTTTCAAAACTTCTCTATGAAAAGAAAGTTTCTACTCCTTTAGTTGAGGACACACATCACGAGTAAGTTTCTGAGAATGCTTCTGTCTAGTTTTTATGGGAAGATTATTTCCTTTTTCACCTTAGGCCGGTAAGTGCTCCAAATGTCCACTTACACACACTACAAAAAGAGTGTTTCAAACCTGCTCTGTGAAAGGGAATGTTCAATTCTGTGACTTGAATGCAATCATCACAAAGAACTTTCTGAGAATGCTGCTGACTGCTTTTTATATGTAATCCCGTTTCCAACGAAATCCTCAAATCTAGCCAAATAGCCACTTGCAGATTCCACAAAAAGAGTGTTTCAAAACTGTTCTGTCTAAAGAAATGTTCAACTGTGTTAGTTGAGGACACACATCAGAAACTAGTTTCTGAGAATGCTCTGTCTAGTTGTTATGGGAAGATATTTCCTTTTCCAACGTAGGCCTGAAAGCGCTCCAAATGTCCACTTCCATATACTAAAAAAAGAGTGTTTCAAACCTGCTCTACCAAAGGGAATGTTCTACTCTGTGACTTGAATGCAAACATCCCAAAGAAGTTTCTGAGAATGCTTTCTGTCTAGATTTTCTCTGAAGACAATCCCGTTTCCAACGAAATCCTCAAGGCTAGGCAAATATACTCTTGCAGATTCCAGAAAAAGAGTGTTTCAAAATTGCTCCTTCAAAACGGTGGTTCAATTCTCTTAGTTGAGTACACACATCTCAAATAAGTTTCTGAGAATGCTTCTGCCTAGTTGTTACAGGAAGATATTTCCTTTTCCAACATGGGCCTGAAAGCGCTCCAAATGTCCACTTCCAGATACTACAAAAAGAGTGTTTCAAACCTGCTCTACCAAAGGGAATGTTCTACTCTGTGACTTGAATGCAAACATCCCAAAGAAGTTTCTGAGAATGCTTCTGTCTAGATTTTACCTGAAGACAATCCCGTTTCCCACGAAATCCTCAAAGCTATGCAAATATCCTCTTGCAGATTCTACAAAAAGAGTGTTTCAAAACTGCTCTATGAAAAGAAAGGTTCAACTCTGTCAGTAGAGGGCACACATCACAAACAAGTTTCTGAGAATGCTTCTGCATAGTTGTTACGGGAAGATATTTCCCTTTCCAAAATAGGCCTGAAAGCGCTCCAAATGTCCACTTCCAGATACTACAAAAGGAGTGATTCCAACCTGCTCTATGATAGGGAATGTTCAACTCTGTGTCCTGAATACAAACATCACAAAGATGTTTCTCAGAACGCTGCAGTCTGCAATTTGTATGAATTCCCGCTTCCAACGAAATCCTCAAAACTAGCCAAATATCCACTTGCAGATTCCACAAAAAGACCATTTCAAAACTGCTCTATCAAAAGAAAGGTTCAACTTTGTTAGTTGAGTAGTTACAGCATAAACAAGTTTCTGAGAATGCTTCTGTCCAGTTTTTATGGGAAGATATTTCCTTTTTCACCTTAGCCCTGAAATCGCTCCAACAGTCCAGTTCCAGATACTACAAAACGGGTGTTTCAAGACTGCTCTATGAAAGGGAGTGTTCAACTTTTGACTTGAATGCAAACATCAGAAAGCAGTTTCTCAGAACGCTGCTGTGTGCTTTTTATATGTATTCCCGCTTCCAGCGAAATCCCCAAAGCTAGCCAAATATCCACTTGCAGATTCCAGAAAAAGAGAGTTTCAAAACTGCTCCTTCAAAACGGTGGTTCAATTCTCTTAGTTGAGTACACACATCTCAAATAAGTTTCTGAGAATGCTTCTGTCTAGTTGTTATGGGAAGATATTTCCTTTTCCAACATAGGCCTGAAAGCGCTCCAAATGTCCACTTCCAGATACTACAAAAGGAGTGATTCCAACCTGCTCTATGATAGGGAATGTTCAACTCTGTGTCCTGAATACAAACATCACAAAGATGTTTCTCAGAACGCTGCAGTCTGCAATTTGTATGAATTCCCGCTTCCAACGAAATCCTCAAAACTAGCCAAATATCCACTTGCAGATTCCACAAAAAGAGCGTTTCAAAACTTCTCTATGAAAAGAAAGGTTCTACTCCTTTAGTTGAGGACACACATCACGAGTAAGTTTCTGAGAATGCTTCTGTCTAGTTTTTATGGGAAGATATTTCCTTTTTCACCTTAGGCCGGTAAGTGCTCCAAATGTCCACTTACACACACTACAAAAAGAGTGTTTCAAACCTGCTCTGTGAAAGGGAATGTTCAATTCTGTGACTTGAATGCAATCATCACAAAGAACTTTCTGAGAATGCTGCTGACTGCTTTTTATATGTAATCCCGTTTCCAACGAAATCCTCAAATCTAGCCAAATACCCACTTGCAGATTCCACAAAAAGAGTGTTTCAAAACTGTTCTGTCTAAAGAAATGTTCAACTGTGTTAGTTGAGGACACACATCAGAAACTAGTTTCTGAGAATGCTTCTGTCTAGTTGTTATGGGAAGATATTTCCTTTTCCAACGTAGGCCTGAAAGCGCTCCAAATGTCCACTTCCAGATACTACAAAAAGAGTGTTTCAAACCTGCTCTACCAAAGGGAATGTTCTACTCTGTGACTTGAATGCAAACATCCCAAAGAAGTTTCTGAGAATGCTTCTGTCTAGATTTTCTCTGAAGACAATCCCGTTTCCAACGAAATCCTCAAGGCTAGGCAAATATACTCTTGCAGATTCCAGAAAAAGAGTGTTTCAAAACTGCTCCTTCAAAACGGTGGTTCAATTCTCTTAGTTGAGTACACACATCTCAAATAAGTTTCTGAGAATGCTTCTGCCTAGTTGTTACGGGAAGATATTTCCCTTTCCAACATGGGCCTGAAAGCGCTCCAAATGTCCACTTCCAGATACTACAAAAAGAGTGTTTCAAACCTGCTCTACCAAAGGGAATGTTCTACTCTGTGACTTGAATGCAAACATCCCAAAGAAGTTTCTGAGAATGCTTCTGTCTAGATTTTACCTGAAGACAATCCCGTTTCCCACGAAATCCTCAAAGCTATGCAAATATCCTCTTGCAGATTCTACAAAAAGAGTGTTTCAAAACTGCTCTATGAAAAGAAAGGTTCAACTCTGTCAGTAGAGGGCACACATCACAAACAAGTTTCTGAGAATGCTTGTGTCTAGTTGTTATTGGAAGATATTTCCTTTTTCAACATAGGCCTGAAAGCGCTCCAAATGTCCACTTCCAGATACTACAAAAGGAGTGATTCCAACCTGCTCTATGATAGGGAATGTTCAACTCTGTGTCCTGAATACAAACATCACAAAGATGTTTCTCAGAACGCTGCAGTCTGCAATTTGTATGAATTCCCGCTTCCAACGAAATCCTCAAAACTAGCCAAATATCCACTTGCAGATTCCACAAAAAGACCATTTCAAAACTGCTCTATCAAAAGAAAGGTTCAACTTTGTTAGTTGAGTAGATACAGCATAAACAAGTTTCTGAGAATGCTTCTGTCCAGTTTTTATGGGAAGATATTTCCTTTTTCACCTTAGCCCTGAAATCGCTCCAAAAGTCCAGTTCCAGATACTACAAAAGGGGTGTTTCAGGACTGCTCTATGAAAGGGAGTGTTCAACTTTTGACTTGAATGCAAACATCAGAAAGCAGTTTCTCAGAACGCTGCTGTGTGCTTTTTATATGTATTCCCGCTTCCAGCGAAATCCCCAAAGCTAGCCAAATATCCACTTGCAGATTCCAGAAAAAGAGAGTTTCAAAACTGCTCCTTCAAAACGGTGGTTCAATTCTCTTAGTTGAGTACACACATCTCAAATAAGTTTCTGAGAATGCTTGTGTCTAGTTGTTACGGGAAGATATTTCCTTTTTCAACATAGGCCTGAAAGCGCTCCAAATGTCCACTTCCAGATACTACAAAAGGAGTGATTCCAACCTGCTCTATGATAGGGAATGTTCATCTCTGTGTCCTGAATACAAACATCACAAAGATGTTTCTCAGAACGCTGCAGTCTGCAATTTGTATGAATTTCCGCTTCCAACGAAATCCTCAAAACTAGCCAAATATCCACTTGGAGATTCCACAAAAAGAGCGTTTCAAAACTTCTCTATGAATAGAAAGGTTCTACTCCTTTAGTTGAGGACACACATCACGAGTAAGTTTCTGAGAATGCTTCTGTCTAGTTTTTATGGGAAGATATTTCCTCTTTCACCTTAGGCAGGAAAGCGCTCAAAATGTCCACTTACACACACTACAAAAAGAGTGTTTCAAACCTGCTCTGTGAAAGGGAATGTTCAATTCTGTGACTTGAATGCAATCATCACAAAGAACTTTCTGAGAATGCTGCTGTCTGCTTTTTATATGTAATCCCGTTTCCAACGAAATCCTCAAATCTAGCCCAATATCCACTTGCAGATTCCACAAAAAGAGTGTTTCAAAACTGTTCTGTCTAAAGAAATGTACAACTGTGTTAGTTGAGGACACACATCAGAAACTAGTTTCTGAGAATGCTTCTGTCTAGTTGTTATGGGAAGATATTTCCTTTTCCAACGTAGGCCTGAAAGCGCTCCAAATGTCCACTTCCATATACTAAAAAAAGAGTGTTTCAAACCTGCTCTACCAAAGGGAATGTTCTACTCTGTGACTTGAATGCAAACATCCCAAAGAAGTTTCTGAGAATGCTTCTGTCTAGATTTTATCTGAAGACAATCCCGTTTCCAACGAAATCCTCAAGGCTAGGCAAATATACTCTTGCAGATTCCAGAAAAAGAGGGTTTCAAAACTGCTCCT
The DNA here is from genome assembly GCF_000001405.40 of Homo sapiens. Lineage (NCBI taxonomy): Eukaryota > Metazoa > Chordata > Mammalia > Primates > Hominidae > Homo > Homo sapiens. The sequence goes on along the minus strand of NC_000018.10, from coordinate 16,387,880 downwards.
TCAAAACGGTGGTTCAATTCTCTTAGTTGAGTACACACATCTCAAATAAGTTTCTGAGAATGCTTCTGCCTAGTTGTTACGGGAAGATATTTCCCTTTCCAACATGGGCCTGAAAGCGCTCCAAATGTCCACTTCCAGATACTACAAAAAGAGTGTTTCAAACCTGCTCTACCAAAGGGAATGTTCTACTCTGTGACTTGAATGCAAACATCCCAAAGAAGTTTCTGAGAATGCTTCTGTCTAGATTTTACCTGAAGACAATCCCGTTTCCCACGAAATCCTCAAAGCTATGCAAATATCCTCTTGCGGATTCTACAAAAAGAGTGTTTCAAAACTGCTCTATGAAAAGAAAGGTTCAACTCTGTCAGTAGAGGGCACACATCACAAACAAGTTTCTGAGAATGCTTGTGTCTAGTTGCTATGGGAAGATATTTCCTTTTTCAACATAGGCCTGAAAGCGCTCCAAATGTCCACTTCCAGATACTACAAAAGGAGTGATTCCAACCTGCTCTATGATAGGGAATGTTCAACTCTCTGTCCTGAATACAAACATCACAAAGATGTTTCTCAGAACGCTGCAGTCTGCAATTTGTATGAATTCCAGCTTCCAACGAAATCCTCAAATCTAGCCAAATATCCACTTGCAGATTCCACAAAAAGAGCATTTCAAAACTGCTCTATCAAAAGAAAGGTTCAACTTTGTTAGTAGAGTAGATACAGCATAAACAAGTTTCTGAGAATGCTTCTGTCCAGTTTTTATGGGAAGATATTTCCTTTTTCACCTTAGCCCTGAAAGCGCTCCAAATTTCCAGTTCCAGATACTACAAAAGGGGTGTTTCAAGACTGCTCTATGAAAGGGAGTGTTCAACTTTTGACTTGAATGCAAACAGCAGAAAGCAGTTTCTCAGAACGCTGCTGTGTGCTTTTTATATGTATTCCCGCTTCCAGCGAAATCCCCAAAGCTAGCCAAAGAGCCACTTGCAGATTCCAGAAAAAGAGTGTTTCAAAACTGCTCCTTCAAAACGGTGGTTCAATTCTCTTAGTTGAGTACACACATCTCAAATAAGTTTCTGAGAATGCTTCTGTCTAGTTGTTATGGGAAGATATTTCCTTTTCCAACATAGGCCTGAAAGCGCTCCAAATGTCCACTTCCAGATACTACAAAAGGAGTGATTCAAACCTGCTCTATGATAGGGAATGTTCAACTCTGTGTCCTGAATACAAACATCACAAAGATGTTTCTCAGAACGCTGCAGTCTGCAATTTGTATGAATTCCCGCTTCCAACGAAATCCTCAAAACTAGCCAAATATCCACTTGCAGATTCCACAAAAAGAGCGTTTCAAAACTTCTCTATGAAAAGAAAGGTTCTACTCCTTTAGTTGAGGACACACATCACGAGTAAGTTTCTGAGAATGCTTCTGTCTAGTTTTTATGGGAAGATATTTCCTTTTTCACCTTAGGCCGGTAAGTGCTCCAAATGTCCACTTACACACACTACAAAAAGAGTGTTTCAAACCTGCTCTGTGAAAGGGAATGTTCAATTCTGTGACTTCAATGCAATCATCACAAAGAACTTTCTGAGAATGCTGCTGACTGCTTTTTATATGTAATCCCGTTTCCAACGAAATCCTCAAATCTAGCCAAATAGCCACTTGCAGATTCCACAAAAAGAGTGTTTCAAAACTGTTCTGTCTAAAGAAATGTTCAACTGTGTTAGTTGAGGACACACATCAGAAACTAGTTTCTGAGAATGCTTCTGTCTAGTTGTTATGGGAAGATATTTCCTTTTCCAACGTAGGCCTGAAAGCGATCCAAATGTCCACTTCCAGATACTACAAAAAGAGTGTTTCAAACCTGCTCTACCAAAGGGAATGTTCTACTCTGTGACTTGAATGCAAACATCCCAAAGAAGTTTCTGAGAATGCTTCTGTCTAGATTTTCTCTGAAGACAATCCCGTTTCCAACGAAATCCTCAAGGCTAGGCAAATATACTCTTGCAGATTCCAGAAAAAGAGTGTTTCAAAACTGCTCCTTCAAAACGGTGGTTCAATTCTCTTAGTTGAGTACACACATCTCAAATAAGTTTCTGAGAATGCTTCTGCCTAGTTGTTACGGGAAGATATTTCCCTTTCCAACATGGGCCTGAAAGCGCTCCAAATGTCCACTTCCAGATACTACAAAAAGAGTGTTTCAAACCTGCTCTACCAAAGGGAATGTTCTACTCTGTGACTTGAATGCAAACATCCCAAAGAAGTTTCTGAGAATGCTTCTGTCTAGATTTTACCTGAAGACAATCCCGTTTCCCACGAAATCCTCAAAGCTATGCAAATATCCTCTTGCAGATTCTACAAAAAGAGCGTTTCAAAACTTCTCTATGAAAAGAAAGGTTCTACTCATTTAGTGGAGGACACACATCACGAGTAAGTTTCTGAGAATTCTTCTGTCTAGTTTTTATGGGAAGATATTTCCTTTTTCACCTTAGGCCGGATAGTGCTCCAAATGTCCAATTACACACACTAAAAAAGAGTATTTCAAACCTGCTCTGTGAAAGGGAATGTTCAATTCTGTGACTTGAATGCAATCATCACAAAGAACTTTCTGAGAATGCTGCTGACTGCTTTTTATATGTAATCCCGTTTCCAACGAAATCCTCAAATCTAGCCAAATAGCCACTTGCAGATTCCACAAAAAGAGTGTTTCAAAACTGTTCTGTCTAAAGAAATGTGCAACTGTGTTAGTTGAGGACACACATCAGAAACTAGTTTCTGAGAATGCTTCTGTCTAGTTGTTATGGGAAGATATTTCCTTTTCCAACGTAGGCCTGAATGCGCTCCAAATGTCCACTTCCATATACTAAAAAAAGAGTGTTTCAAACCTGCTCTACCAAAGGGAATGTTCTACTCTGTGACTTGAATGCAAACATCCCAAAGAAGTTTCTGAGAATGCTTCTGTCTAGATTTGATCTGAACACAATCCCGTTTCCAACGAAATCCTCAAAGCTAGGCAAATATCCTCTTGCAGATTCCAGAAAAAGAGTGTTTCAAAACTGCTCCTTCAAAACGGTGGTTCAATTCTCTTAGTTGAGTGCACACATCTCAAATAAGTTTCTGAGAATGCTTCTGCCTAGTTGTTACGGGAAGATATTTCCCTTTCCAACATAGGCCTGAAAGCGCTCCAAATGTCCACTTCCAGATACTACAAAAAGAGTGTTTCAAACCTGCTCTACCAAAGGGAATGTTCTACTCTGTGACTTGAATGCAAACATCCCAAAGAAGTTTCTGAGAATGCTTCTGTCTAGATTTTACCTGAAGACAATCCCGTTTCCCACGAAATCCTCAAAGCTATGCAAATATCCTCTTGCAGATTCTACAAAAAGAGTGTTTCAAAACTGCTCTATGAAAAGAAAGGTTCAACTCTGTCAGTAGAGGGCACACATCACAAACAAGTTTCTGAGAATGCTTGTGTCTAGTTGTTATGGGAAGATATTTCCTTTTTCAACATAGGCCTGAAAGCGCTCCAAATGTCCACTTCCAGATACTACAAAAGGAGTGATTCCAACCTGCTCTATGATAGGGAGTGTTCAACTCTCTGTCCTGAATACAAACATCACAAAGATGTTTCTCAGAACGCTGCAGTCTGCAATTTGTATGAATTCCCGCTTCCAACGAAATCCTCAAAACTAGCCAAATATCCACTTGCAGATTCCACAAAAAGAGCATTTCAAAACTGCTCTATCAAAAGAAAGGTTCAACTATGTTAGTTGAGTAGATACAGCATAAACAAGTTTCTGAGAATGATTCTGTCCAGTTTTTATGGGAAGATATTTCCTTTTTCACCTTAGCCCTGAAAGCGCTCCAAAAGTCCAGTTCCAGATACTACAAAAGGAGTGATTCAGGACTGCTCTATGAAAGGGAGTGTTCAACTTTTGACTTGAATGCAAACATCAGAAAGCAGTTTCTCAGAACGCTGCTGTGTGCTTTTTATATGTATTCCCGCTTCCAGCGAAATCCCCAAAGCTAGCCAAATATCCACTTGCAGATTCCAGAAAAAGAGTGTTTCAAAACTGCTCCTTCAAAACGGTGGTTCAATTCTCTTAGTTGAGTACACACATCTCAAATAAGTTTCTGAGAATGCTTCTGTCTAGTTGTTATGGGAAGATATTTCCTTTTCCAACATAGGCCTGAAAGCGCTCCAAATGTCCACTTCCAGATACTACAAAAGGAGTGATTCAAACCTGCTCTATGATAGGGAATGTTCAACTCTGTGTCCTGAATACAAACATCACAAAGATGTTTCTCAGAACGCTGCAGTCTGCAATTTGTATGAATTCCCGCTTCCAACGAAATCCTCAAAACTAGCCAAATATCCACTTGCAGATTCCACAAAAAGAGCGTTTCAAAACTTCTCTATGAAAAGAAAGGTTCTACTCCTTTAGTTGAGGACACACATCACGAGTAAGTTTCTGAGAATGCTTCTGTCTAGTTTTTATGGGAAGATATTTCCTTTTTCACCTTAGGCCGGAAAGTGCTCCAAATGTCCACTTACACACACTACAAAAAGAGTGTTTCAAACCTGCTCTGTGAAAGGGAATGTTCAATTCTGTGACTTGAATGCAATCATCACAAAGAACTTTCTGAGAATGCTGCTGTCTGCTTTTTATATGTAATCCCGTTTCCAACGAAATCCTCAAATCTAGCCAAATAGCCACTTGCAGATTCCACAAAAAGAGTGTTTCAAAACTGTTCTGTCTAAAGAAATGTTCAACTGTGTTAGTTGAGGACACACCTCAGAAACTAGTTTCTGAGAATGCTTCTGTCTAGTTGTTATGGGAAGATATTTCCTTTTCCAACGTAGGCCTGAAAGCGCTCCAAATGTCCACTTCCATATACTAAAAAAAGAGTGTTTCAAACCTGCTCTACCAAAGGGAATGTTCTACTCTGTGACTTGAATGCAAACATCCCAAAGAAGTTTCTGAGAATGCTTCTGTCTAGATTTGATCTGAAGACAATCCCGTTTCCAACGAAATCCTCAAGGCTAGGCAAATATCCTCTTGCAGATTCCAGAAAAAGAGTGTTTCAAAACTGCTCCTTCAAAACGGTGGTTCAATTCTCTTAGTTGAGTACACACATCTCAAATAAGTTTCTGAGAATGCTTCTGCCTAGTTGTTACGGGAAGATATTTCCCTTTCCAACATAGGCCTGAAAGCGCTCCAAATGTCCACTTCCAGATACTACAAAAAGAGTGTTTCAAACCTGCTCTACCAAAGGGAATGTTCTACTCTGTGACTTGAATGCAAACATCCCAAAGAAGTTTCTGAGAATGCTTCTGTCTAGATTTGATCTGAAGACAATCCCGTTTCCAACGAAATCCTCAAGGCTAGGCAAATATCCTCTTGCAGATTCCAGAAAAAGAGTGTTTCAAAACTGCTCCTTCAAAACGGTGGTTCAATTCTCTTAGTTGAGTACACACATCTCAAATAAGTTTCTGAGAATGCTTCTGCCTAGTTGTTACGGGAAGATATTTCCCTTTCCAACATAGGCCTGAAAGCGCTCCAAATGTCCACTTCCAGATACTACAAAAAGAGTGTTTCAAACCTGCTCTACCAAAGGGAATGTTCTACTCTGTGACTTGAATGCAAACATCCCAAAGAAGTTTCTGAGAATGCTTCTGTCTAGATTTTACCTGAAGACAATCCCGTTTCCCACGAAATCCTCAAAGCTATGCAAATATCCTCTTGCAGATTCTACAAAAAGAGTGTTTCAAAACTGCTCTATGAAAAGAAAGGTTCAACTCTGTCAGTAGAGGGCACACATCACAAACAAGTTTCTGAGAATGCTTGTGTCTAGTTGTTATGGGAAGATATTTCCTTTTTCAACATAGGCCTGAAAGCGTTCCAAATGTCCACTTCCAGATACTACAAAAGGAGTGATTCCAACCTGCTCTATGATAGGGAATGTTCATCTCTGTGTCCTGAATACAAACATCACAAAGATGTTTCTCAGAACGCTGCAGTCTGCAATTTGTATGAATTCCCGCTTCCAACGAAATCCTCAAAACTAGCCAAATATCCACTTGCAGATTCCACAAAAAGACCATTTCAAAACTGCTCTATCAAAAGAAAGGTTCAACTTTGTTAGTTGAGTAGATACAGCATAACCAAGTTTCCTGAGAATGCTTCTGTCCAGTTTTTATGGGAAGATATTTTCTTTTTCACCTTAGCCCTGAAAGCGCTCCAAAAGTCCAGTTCCAGATACTGCAAAAGGAGTGTTTCAGGACTGCTCTATGAAAGGGAGTGTTCAACTTTTGACTTGAATGCAAACATCAGAAAGCAGTTTCTCAGAACGCTTGCTGTGTGCTTTTTATATGTATTCCCGCTTCCAGCGAAATCCCCAAAGCTAGCCAAATATCCACTTGCAGATTCCAGAAAAAGAGAGTTTCAAAACTGCTCCTTCAAAACGGTGGTTCAATTCTCTTAGTTGAGTACACACATCTCAAATAAGTTTCTGAGAATGCTTCTGTCTAGTTGTTATGGGAAGATATTTCCTTTTCCAACATAGGCCTGAAAGCGCTCCAAATGTCCACTTCCAGATACTACAAAAGGAGTGATTCCAACCTGCTCTATGATAGGGAATGTTCAACTCTGTGTCCTGAATACAAACATCACAAAGATGTTTCTCAGAACGCTGCAGTCTGCAATTTGTATGAATTCCCGCTTCCAACGAAATCCTCAAAACTAGCCAAATATCCACTTGCAGATTCCACAAAAAGAGCGTTTCAAAACTTCTCTATGAAAAGAAAGGTTCTACTCCTTTAGTTGAGGACACACATCACGAGTAAGTTTCTGAGAATGCTTCTGTCTAGTTTTTATGGGAAGATTATTTCCTTTTTCACCTTAGGCCGGTAAGTGCTCCAAATGTCCACTTACACACACTACAAAAAGAGTGTTTCAAACCTGCTCTGTGAAAGGGAATGTTCAATTCTGTGACTTGAATGCAATCATCACAAAGAACTTTCTGAGAATGCCGCTGACTGCTTTTTATATGTAATCCCGTTTCCAACGAAATCCTCAAATCTAGCCAAATAGCCACTTGCAGATTCCACAAAAAGAGTGTTTCAAAACTGTTCTGTCTAAAGAAATGTTCAACTGTGTTAGTTGAGGACACACATCAGAAACTAGTTTCTGAGAATGCTTCTGTCTAGTTGTTATGGGAAGATATTTCCTTTTCCAACGTAGGCCTGAAAGCGCTCCAAATGTCCACTTCCAGATACTACAAAAAGAGTGTTTCAAACCTGCTCTACCAAAGGGAATGTTCTACTCTGTGACTTGAATGCAAGCATCCCAAAGAAGTTTCTGAGAATGCTTCTGTCTAGATTTTCTCTGAAGACAATCCCGTTTCCAACGAAATCCTCAAGGCTAGGCAAATATACTCTTGCAGATTCCAGAAAAAGAGTGTTTCAAAACTGCTCCTTCAAAACGGTGGTTCAATTCTCTTAGTTGAGTACACACATCTCAAATAAGTTTCTGAGAATGCTTCTGCCTAGTTGTTACGGGAAGATATTTCCCTTTCCAACATGGGCCTGAAAGCGCTCCAAATGTCCACTTCCAGATACTACAAAAAGAGTGTTTCAAACCTGCTCTACCAAAGGGAATGTTCTACTCTGTGACTTGAATGCAAACATCCCAAAGAAGTTTCTGAGAATGCTTCTGTCTAGATTTTACCTGAAGACAATCCCGTTTCCCACGAAATCCTCAAAGCTATGCAAATATCCTCTTGCAGATTCTACAAAAAGAGTGTTTCAAAACTGCTCTATGAAAAGAAAGGTTCAACTCTGTCAGTAGAGGGCACACATCACAAACAAGTTTCTGAGAATGCTTGTGTCTAGTTGTTATGGGAAGATATTTCCTTTTTCAACATAGGCCTGAAAGCGCTCCAAATGTCCACTTCCAGATACTACAAAAGGAGTGATTCAAACCTGCTCTATGATAGGGAATGTTCAACTCTCTGTCCTGAATACAAACATCACAAAGATGTTTCTCAGAATGCTGCAGTCTGCAATTTGTATGAATTACCGCTTCCAACGAAATCCTCAAAACTAGCCAAATATCCACTTGCAGATTCCACAAAAAGACCATTTCAAAACTGCTCTATCAAAAGAAAGGTTCAACTTTGTTAGTTGAGTAGATACAGCATAAACAAGTTTCTGAGAATGCTTCTGTCCAGTTTTTATGGGAAGATATTTCCTTTTTCACCTTAGCCCTGAAATCGCTCCAAAAGTCCAGTTCCAGATACTACAAAAGGGGTGTTTCAAGACTGCTCTATGAAAGGGAGTGTTCAACTTTTGACTTGAATGCAAACATCAGAAAGCAGTTTCTCAGAACGCTGCTGTGTGCTTTTTATATGTATTCCCGCTTCCAGCGAAATCCCCAAAGCTAGCCAAATATCCACTTGCAGATTCCAGAAAAAGAGTGCTTCAAAACTGCTCCTTCAAAACGGTGGTTCAATTCTCTTAGTTGAGTACACACATCTCAAATAAGTTTCTGAGAATGCTTCTGTCTAGTTGTTATGGGAAGATATTTCCTTTTCCAACATAGGCCTGAAAGCGCTCCAAATGTCCACTTCCAGATACTACAAAACGAGTGATTCAAACCTGCTCTATGATAGGGAATGTTCAAATCTGTGTCCTGAATACAAACATCACAAAGATGTTTCTCAGAACGCTGCAGTCTGCAATTTGTATGAATTCCCGCTTCCAACGAAATCCTCAAAACTAGCCAAATATCCACTTGCAGATTCCACAAAAAGAGCGTTTCAAAACTTCTCTATGAAAAGAAAGGTTCTACTCCTTTAGTTGAGGACACACATCACGAGTAAGTTTCTGAGAATGCTTCTGTCTAGTTTTTATGGGAAGATATTTCCTTTTTCACCTTAGGCCGGTAAGTGCTCCAAATGTCCACTTACACACACTACAAAAAGAGTGTTTCAAACCTGCTCTGTGAAAGGGAATGTTCAATTCTGTGACTTGAATGCAATCATCACAAAGAACTTTCTGAGAATGCTGCTGACTGCTTTTTATATGTAATCCCGTTTCCAACGAAATCCTCAAATCTAGCCAAATAGCCACTTGCAGATTCCACAAAAAGAGTGTTTCAAAACTGTTCTGTCTAAAGAAATGTTCAACTGTGTTAGTTGAGGACACACATCAGAAACTAGTTTCTGAGAATGCTTCTGTCTAGTTGTTATGGGAAGATATTTCCTTTTCCAACGTAGGCCTGAAAGCGCTCCAAATGTCCACTTCCATATACTAAAAAAAGAGTGTTTCAAACCTGCTCTACCAAAGGGAATGTTCTAATCTGTGACTTGAATGCAAACATCCCAAAGAAGTTTCTGAGAATGCTTCTGTCTAGATTTGATCTGAAGACAATCCCGTTTCCAACGAAATCCTCAAGGCTAGGCAAATATCCTCTTGCAGATTCCAGAAAAAGAGTGTTTCAAAACTGCTCCTTCAAAACGGTGGTTCAATTCTCTTAGTTGAGTACACACATCTCAAATAAGTTTCTGAGAATGCTTCTGCCTAGTTGTTACGGGAAGATATTTCCCTTTCCAACATGGGCCTGAAAGCGCTCCAAATGTCCACTTCCAGATACTACAAAAAGAGTGTTTCAAACCTGCTCTACCAAAGGGAATGTTCTACTCTGTGACTTGAATGCAAACATCCCAAAGAAGTTTCTGAGAATGCTTCTGTCTAGATTTTACCTGAAGACAATCCCGTTTCCCACGAAATCCTCAAAGCTATGCAAATATCCTCTTGCAGATTCTACAAAAAGAGTGTTTCAAAACTGCTCTATGAAAAGAAAGGTTCAACTCTGTCAGTAGAGGGCACACATCACAAACAAGTTTCTGAGAATGCTTCTGCATAGTTGTTACGGGAAGATATTTCCCTTTCCAAAATAGGCCTGAAAGCGCTCCAAATGTCCACTTCCAGATACTACAAAAGGAGTGATTCCAACCTGCTCTATGATAGGGAATGTTCAACTCTGTGTCCTGAATACAAACATCACAAAGATGTTTCTCAGAACGCTGCAGTCTGCAATTTGTATGAATTCCCGCTTCCAACGAAATCCTCAAAACTAGCCAAATATCCACTTGCAGATTCCACAAAAAGACCATTTCAAAACTGCTCTATCAAAAGAAAGGTTCAACTTTGTTAGTTGAGTAGATACAGCATAACCAAGTTTCTGAGAATGCTTCTGTCCAGTTTTTATGGGAAGATATTTCCTTTTTCACCTTAGCCCTGAAATCGCTCCAAAAGTCCAGTTCCAGATACTACAAAAGGGGTGTTTCAAGACTGCTCTATGAAAGGGAGTGTTCAACTTTTGACTTGAATGCAAACATCAGAAAGCAGTTTCTCAGAACGCTGCTGTGTGCTTTTTATATGTATTCCCGCTTCCAGCGAAATCCCCAAAGCTAGCCAAATATCCACTTGCAGATTCCAGAAAAAGAGAGTTTCAAAACTGCTCCTTCAAAACGGTGGTTCAATTCTCTTAGTTGAGTACACACATCTCAAATAAGTTTCTGAGAATGCTTCTGTCTAGTTGTTATGGGAAGATATTTCCTTTTCCAACATAGGCCTGAAAGCGCTCCAAATGTCCACTTCCAGATACTACAAAAGGAGTGATTCCAACCTGCTCTATGATAGGGAATGTTCAACTCTGTGTCCTGAATACAAACATCACAAAGATGTTTCTCAGAACGCTGCAGTCTGCAATTTGTATGAATTCCCGCTTCCAACGAAATCCTCAAAACTAGCCAAATATCCACTTGCAGATTCCACAAAAAGAGCGTTTCAAAACTTCTCTATGAAAAGAAAGGTTCTACTCCTTTAGTTGAGGACACACATCACGAGTAAGTTTCTGAGAATGCTTCTGTCTAGTTTTTATGGGAAGATTATTTCCTTTTTCACCTTAGGCCGGTAAGTGCTCCAAATGTCCACTTACACACACTACAAAAAGAGTGTTTCAAACCTGCTCTGTGAAAGGGAATGTTCAATTCTGTGACTTGAATGCAATCATCACAAAGAACTTTCTGAGAATGCTGCTGACTGCTTTTTATATGTAATCCCGTTTCCAACGAAATCCTCAAATCTAGCCAAATAGCCACTTGCAGATTCCACAAAAAGAGTGTTTCAAAACTGTTCTGTCTAAAGAAATGTTCAACTGTGTTAGTTGAGGACACACATCAGAAACTAGTTTCTGAGAATGCTTCTGTCTAGTTGTTATGGGAAGATATTTCCTTTTCCAACGTAGGCCTGAAAGCGCTCCAAATGTCCACTTCCAGATACTACAAAAAGAGTGTTTCAAACCTGCTCTACCAAAGGGAATGTTCTACTCTGTGACTTGAATGCAAGCATCCCAAAGAAGTTTCTGAGAATGCTTCTGTCTAGATTTTCTCTGAAGACAATCCCGTTTCCAACGAAATCCTCAAGGCTAGGCAAATATACTCTTGCAGATTCCAGAAAAAGAGTGTTTCAAAACTGCTCCTTCAAAACGGTGGTTCAATTCTCTTAGTTGAGTACACACATCTCAAATAAGTTTCTGAGAATGCTTCTGCCTAGTTGTTACGGGAAGATATTTCCCTTTCCAACATGGGCCTGAAAGCGCTCCAAATGTCCACTTCCAGATACTACAAAAAGAGTGTTTCAAACCTGCTCTACCAAAGGGAATGTTCTACTCTGTGACTTGAATGCAAACATCCCAAAGAAGTTTCTGAGAATGCTTCTGTCTAGATTTTACCTGAAGACAATCCCGTTTCCCACGAAATCCTCAAAGCTATGCAAATATCCTCTTGCAGATTCTACAAAAAGAGTGTTTCAAAACTGCTCTATGAAAAGAAAGGTTCAACTCTGTCAGTAGAGGGCACACATCACAAACAAGTTTCTGAGAATGCTTCTGCATAGTTGTTACGGGAAGATATTTCCCTTTCCAAAATAGGCCTGAAAGCGCTCCAAATGTCCACTTCCAGATACTACAAAAGGAGTGATTCCAACCTGCTCTATGATAGGGAATGTTCAACTCTGTGTCCTGAATACAAACATCACAAAGATGTTTCTCAGAACGCTGCAGTCTGCAATTTGTATGAATTCCCGCTTCCAACGAAATCCTCAAAACTAGCCAAATATCCACTTGCAGATTCCACAAAAAGACCATTTCAAAACTGCTCTATCAAAAGAAAGGTTCAACTTTGTTAGTTGAGTAGATACAGCATAACCAAGTTTCTGAGAATGCTTCTGTCCAGTTTTTATGGGAAGATATTTCCTTTTTCACCTTAGCCCTGAAATCGCTCCAAAAGTCCAGTTCCAGATACTACAAAAGGGGTGTTTCAAGACTGCTCTATGAAAGGGAGTGTTCAACTTTTGACTTGAATGCAAACATCAGAAAGCAGTTTCTCAGAACGCTTCTGTGTGCTTTTTATATGTATTCCCGCTTCCAGCGAAATCCCCAAAGCTAGCCAAATATCCACTTGCAGATTCCAGAAAAAGAGAGTTTCAAAACTGCTCCTTCAAAACGGTGGTTCAATTCTCTTAGTTGAGTACACACATCTCAAATAAGTTTCTGAGAATGCTTCTGTCTAGTTGTTATGGGAAGATATTTCCTTTTCCAACATAGGCCTGAAAGCGCTCCAAATGTCCACTTCCAGATACTACAAAAGGAGTGATTCAAACCTGCTCTATGATAGGGAATGTTCAACTCTGTGTCCTGAATACAAACATCACAAAGATGTTTCTCAGAACGCTGCAGTCTGCAATTTGTATGAATTCCCGCTTCCAACGAAATCCTCAAAACTAGCCAAATATCCACTTGCAGATTCCACAAAAAGAGCGTTTCAAAACTTCTCTATGAAAAGAAAGGTTCTACTCCTTTAGTTGAGGACACACATCACGAGTAAGTTTCTGAGAATGCTTCTGTCTAGTTTTTATGGGAAGATATTTCCTTTTTCACCTTAGGCCGGTAAGTGCTCCAAATGTCCACTTACACACACTACAAAAAGAGTGTTTCAAACCTGCTCTGTGAAAGGGAATGTTCAATTCTGTGACTTGAATGCAATCATCACAAAGAACTTTCTGAGAATGCTGCTGACTGCTTTTTATATGTAATCCCGTTTCCAACGAAATCCTCAAATCTAGCCAAATAGCCACTTGCAGATTCCACAAAAAGAGTGTTTCAAAACTGTTCTGTCTAAAGAAATGTTCAACTGTGTTAGTTGAGGACACACATCAGAAACTAGTTTCTGAGAATGCTTCTGTCTAGTTGTTATGGGAAGATATTTCCTTTTCCAACGTAGGCCTGAAAGCGATCCAAATGTCCACTTCCATATACTAAAAAAAGAGTGTTTCAAACCTGCTCTACCAAAGGGAATGTTCTACTCTGTGACTTGAATGCAAACATCCCAAAGAAGTTTCTGAGAATGCTTCTGTCTAGATTTTATCTGAAGACAGTCCCGTTTCCAACGAAATCCTCAAGGCTAGGCAAATATACTCTTGCAGATTCCAGAAAAAGAGGGTTTCAAAACTGCTCCTTCAAAACGGTGGTTCAGTTCTCTTAGTTGAGTACACACATCTCAAATAAGTTTCTGAGAATGCTTCTGCCTAGTTGTTACGGGAAGATATTTCCCTTTCCAACATGGGCCTGAAAGCGCTCCAAATGTCCACTTCCAGATACTACAAAAAGAGTGTTTCAAACCTGCTCTACCAAAGGGAATGTTCTACTCTGTGACTTGAATGCAAACATCCCAAAGAAGTTTCTGAGAATGCTTCTGTCTAGATTTTACCTGAAGACAATCCCGTTTCCCACGAAATCCTCAAAGCTATGCAAATAACCTCTTGCAGATTCTACAAAAAGAGTGTTTCAAAACTGCTCTATGAAAAGAAAGGTTCAACTCTGTCAGTAGAGGGCACACATCACAAACAAGTTTCTGAGAATGCTTCTGCATAGTTGTTACGGGAAGATATTTCCCTTTCCAAAATAGGCCTGAAAGCGCTCCAAATGTCCACTTCCAGATACTACAAAAGGAGTGATTCCAACCTGCTCTATGATAGGGAATGTTCAACTCTGTGTCCTGAATACAAACATCACAAAGATGTTTCTCAGAACGCTGCAGTCTGCAATTTGTATGAATTCCCGCTTCCAACGAAATCCTCAAAACTAGCCAAATATCCACTTGCAGATTCCACAAAAAGAGCATTTCAAAACTGCTCTATCAAAAGAAAGGTTCAACTTTGTTAGTTGAGTAGATACAGCATAAACAAGTTTCTGAGAATGCTTCTGTCCAGTTTTTATGGGAAGATATTTCCTTTTTCACCTTAGCCCTGAAATCGCTCCAAAAGTCCAGTTCCAGATACTACAAAAGGGGTGTTTCAGGACTGCTCTATGAAAGGGAGTGTTCAACTTTTGACTTGAATGCAAACATCAGAAAGCAGTTTCTCAGAACGCTGCTGTGTGCTTTTTATATGTATTCCCGCTTCCAGCGAAATCCCCAAAGCTAGCCAAATATCCACTTGCAGATTCCAGAAAAAGAGTGTTTCAAAACTGCTCCTTCAAAACGGTGGTTCAATTCTCTTAGTTGAGTACACACATCTCAAATAAGTTTCTGAGAATGCTTGTGTCTACTTGTTATGGGAAGATATTTCCTTTTTCAACATAGGCCTCAAAGCGCTCGAAATGGCCACTTCCAGATACTACAAAAGGAGTGATTCCAACCTGCTCTATGATAGGGAATGTTCAACTCTGTGTCCTGAATACAAACATCACAAAGATGTTTCTCAGAACGCTGCAGTCTGCAATTTGTATGAATTCCCGCTTCCAACGAAATCCTCCAAACTAGCCAAATATCCACTTGCAGATTCCACAAAAAGAGCGTTTCAAAACTTCTCTATGAAAAGAAAGGTTCTACTCCTTTAGTTGAGGACACACATCACGAGTAAGTTTCTGAGAATGCTTCTGTCTAGTTTTTATGGGAAGATATTTCCTTTTTCACCTTAGGCCGGAAAGTGCTCCAAATGTCCACTTACACACACTACAAAAAGAGTGTTTCAAACCTGCTCTGTGAAAGGGAATGTTCAATTCTGTGACTTGAATGCAATCATCACAAAGAAAGTTCTGAGAATGCTGCTGTCTGCTTTTTATATGTAATCCCGTTTCCAACGAAATCCTCAAATCTAGCCAAATAGCCACTTGCAGATTCCACAAAAAGAGTGTTTCAAAACTGTTCTGTCTAAAGAAATGTTCAACTGTGTTAGTTGAGGACACACATCAGAAACTAGTTTCTGAGAATGCTTCTGTCTAGTTGTTATGGGAAGATATTTCCTTTTCCAACGTAGGCCTGAAAGCGCTCCAAATGTCCACTTCCATATACTAAAGAAAGAGTGTTTCAAACCTGCTCTACCAAAGGGAATGTTCTACTCTGTGACTTGAATGCAAACATCCCAAAGAAGTTTCTGAGAATGCTTCTGTCTAGATTTGATCTGAAGACAATCCCGTTTCCAACGAAATCCTCAAGGCTAGGCAAATATCCTCTTGCAGATTCCAGAAAAAGAGTGTTTCAAAACTGCTCCTTCAAAACGGTGGTTCAATTCTCTTAGTTGAGTACACACATCTCAAATAAGTTTCTGAGAATGCTTCTGCCTAGTTGTTACGGGAAGATATTTCCCTTTCCAACATAGGCCTGAAAGCGCTCCAAATGTCCACTTCCAGATACTACAAAAAGAGTGTTTCAAACCTGCTCTACCAAAGGGAATGTTCTACTCTGTGACTTGAATGCAAACATCCCAAAGAAGTTTCTGAGAATGCTTCTGTCTAGATTTTACCTGAAGACAATCCCGTTTCCCACGAAATCCTCAAAGCTATGCAAATATCCTCTTGCAGATTCTACAAAAAGAGTGTTTCAAAACTGCTCTATGAAAAGAAAGGTTCAACTCTGTCAGTAGAGGGCACACATCACAAACAAGTTTCTGAGAATGCTTGTGTCTAGTTGTTATGGGAAGATATTTCCTTTTTCAACATAGGCCTGAAAGCGCTCCAAATGTCCACTTCCAGATACTACAAAAGGAGTGATTCCAACCTGCTCTATGATAGGGAATGTTCAACTCTCTGTCCTGAATACAAACATCACAAAGATGTTTCTCAGAACGCTGCAGTCTGCAATTTGTATGAATTCCCGCTTCCAACGAAATCCTCAAAACTAGCCAAATATCCACTTGCAGATTCCACAAAAAGAGCATTTCAAAACTGCTCTATCAAAAGAAAGGTTCAACTTTGTTAGTTGAGTAGATACAGCATAAACAAGTTTCTGAGAATGCTTCTGTCCAGTTTTTATGGGAAGATATTTCCTTTTTCACCTTAGCCCTGAAAGCGCTCCAAAAGTCCAGTTCCAGATACTACAAAAGGAGTGTTTCAGGACTGCTCTATGAAAGGGAGTGTTCAACTTTTGACTTGAATGCAAACATCAGAAAGCAGTTTCTCAGAACGCTGCTGTGTGCTTTTTATATGTATTCCCGCCTCCAGCGAAATCCCCAAAGCTAGCCAAATATCCACTTGCAGATTCCAGAAAAAGAGTGTTTCAAAACTGCTCCTTCAAAACGGTGGTTCAATTCTCTTAGTTGAGTACACACATCTCAAATAAGTTTCTGAGAATGCTTCTGCCTAGTTGTTACGGGAAGATATTTCCCTTTCCAACATAGGCCTGAAAGCGCTCCAAATGTCCACTTCCAGATACTACAAAAAGAGTGTTTCAAACCTGCTCTACCAAAGGGAATGTTCTACTCTGTGACTTGAATGCAAACATCCCAAAGAAGTTTCTGAGAATGCTTCTGTCTAGATTTTACCTGAAGACAATCCCGTTTCCCACGAAATCCTCAGAGCTATGCAAATATCCTCTTGCAGATTCTACAAAAAGAGTGTTTCGAAACTGCTCTATGAAAAGAAAGGTTCAACTCTGTCAGTAGAGGAAACACATCACCAACAAGTTTCTGAGAATGCTTCTGTCTAGTTGTTATGGGAAGATTTTTCCTTTTTCAACATAGGCCTGAAAGCGCTCCAAATGTCCACTTCCAGATACTACAAAAGGAGTGATCCCAACCTGCTCTATGATAGGGAATGTTCAACTCTGTGTCCTGAATACAAACATCACAAAGATGTTTCTCAGAACGCTGCAGTCTGCAATTTGTATGAATTCCCGCTTCCAACGAAATCCTCAAAACTAGCCAAATATCCACTTGCAGATTCCACAAAAAGAGCATTTCAAAACTGCTCTATCAAAAGAAAGGTTCAACTTTGTTAGTTGAGCAGATACAGCATAAACAAGTTTCTGAGAATGCTTCTGTCCAGTTTTTATGGGAAGATATTTCCTTTTTCACCTTAGCCCTGAAAGCGCTCCAAATTTCCAGTTCCAGATACTACAAAAGGGGTGTTTCAAGACTGCTCTATGAAAGGGAGTGTTCAACTTTTGACTTGAATGCAAACATCAGAAAGCAGTTTCTCAGAACGCTGCTGTGTGCTTTTTATATGTATTCCCGCTTCCAGCGAAATCCCCAAAGCTAGCCAAATATCCACTTGCAGATTCCAGAAAAAGAGTGTTTCCAAACTGCTCCTTCAAAACGGTGGTTCAATTCTCTTAGTTGAGTACACACATCTCAAATAAGTTTCTGGGAATGCTTCTGTCTAGTTGTTATGGGAAGATATTTCCTTTTCCAACATAGGCCTGAAAGCGCTCCAAATGTCCACTTCCAGATACTACAAAAGGAGTGATTCAAACCTGCTCTATGATAGGGAATGTTCAACTCTGTGTCCTGAATACAAACATCACAAAGATGTTTCTCAGAACGCTGCAGTCTGCATCTTGTATGAATTCCCGCTTCCAACGAAATCCTCCAAACTAGCCAAATATCCACTTGCAGATTCCACAAAAAGAGCGTTTCAAAACTTCTCTATGAAAAGAAAGGTTCTACTCCTTTAGTTGAGGACACACATCACGAGTAAGTTTCTGAGAATGCTTCTGTCTAGTTTTTATGGGAAGATATTTCCTTTTTCACCTTAGGCCGGAAAGCGCTCCAAATGTCCACTTACACACACTACAAAAAGAGTGTTTCAAACCTGCTCTGTGAAAGGGAATGTTCAATTCTGTGACTTGAATGCAATCATCACAAAGAACTTTCTGAGAATGCTGCTGACTGCTTTTTATATGTAATCCCGTTTCCAACGAAATCCTCAAATCTAGCCAAATAGCCACTTGCAGATTCCACAAAAAGAGTGTTTCAAAACTGTTCTGTCTAAAGAAATGTTCAACTGTGTTAGTTGAGGACACACATCAGAAACTAGTTTCTGAGAATGCTTCTGTCTAGTTGTTATGGGAAGATATTTCCTTTTCCAACGTAGGCCTGAAAGCGCTCCAAATGTCCACTTCCATATACTAAAAAAAGAGTGTTTCAAACCTGCTCTACCAAAGGGAATGTTCTACTCTGTGACTTGAATGCAAACATCCCAAAGAAGTTTCTGAGAATGCTTCTGTCTAGATTTTCTCTGAAGACAATCCCGTTTCCAACGAAATCCTCAAGGCTAGGCAAATATACTCTTGCAGATTCCAGAAAAAGAGTGTTTCAAAACTGCTCCTTCAAAACGGTGGTTCAATTCTCTTAGTTGAGTACACACATCTCAAATAAGTTTCTGAGAATGCTTCTGCCTAGTTGTTACGGGAAGATATTTCCCTTTCCAACATAGGCCTGAAAGCGCTCCAAATGTCCACTTCCAGATACTACAAAAAGAGTGTTTCAAACCTGCTCTACCAAAGGGAATGTTCTGCTCTGTGACTTGAATGCAAACATCCCAAAGAAGTTTCTGAGAATGCTTCTGTCTAGATTTTACCTGAAGACAATCCCGTTTCTCACGAAATCCTCAAAGCTATGCAAATATCCTCTTGCAGATCCTACAAAAAGAGTGTTTCAAAACTGCTCTATGAAAAGAAAGGTTCAACTCTGTCAGTAGAGGGCACACATCACAAACAAGTTTCTGAGAATGCTTGTGTCTAGTTGTTATGGGAAGATATTTCCTTTTTCAACATAGCCCTGAAAGCGCTCCAAATGTCCACTTCCAGATACTACAAAAGGAGTGATTCCAACCTGCTCTATGATAGGGAATGTTCAACTCTCTGTCCTGAATACAAACATCACAAAGATGTTTCTCAGAACGCTGCAGTCTGCAATTTGTATGAATTCCCGCTTCCAGCGAAATCCTCAAAACTAGCCAAATATCCACTTGCAGATTCCACAAAAAGAGCATTTCAAAACTGCTCTATCAAAAGAAAGGTTCAACTTTGTTAGTTGAGTAGATACAGCATAAACAAGTTTCTGAGAATGCTTCTGTCCAGTTTTTATGGGAAGATATTTCCTTTTTCACCTTAGCCCTGAAAGCGCTCCAAAAGTCCAGTTCCAGATACTACAAAAGGAGTGTTTCAGGACTGCTCTATGAAAGGGAGTGTTCAACTTTTGACTTGAATGCAAACATCAGAAAGCAGTTTCTCAGAACGCTGCTGTGTGCTTTTTATATGTATTCCCGCTTCCAGCGAAATCCCCAAAGCTAGCCAAATATCCACTTGCAGATTCCAGAAAAAGAGTGTTTCCAAACTGCTCCTTCAAAACGGTGGTTCAATTCTCATAGTTGAGTACACACATCTCCAATAAGTTTCTGGGAATGCTTCTGTCTAGTTGTTATGGGAAGATATTTCCTTTTCCAACATAGGCCTGAAAGCGCTCCAAATGTCCACTTCCAGACACTACAAAAGGAGTGATTCAAACCTGCTCTATGATAGGGAATGTTCAACTCTGTGTCCTGAATACAAACATCACAAAGATGTTTCTCAGAACGCTGCAGTCTGCAATTTGTATGAATTCCCGCTTCCAACGAAATCCTCAAAACTAGCCAAATATCCACTTGCAGATTCCACAAAAAGAGCGTTTCAAAACTTCTCTATGAAAAGAAAGGTTCTACTCCTTTAGTTGAGGACACACATCACGAGTAAGTTTCTGAGAATGCTTCTGTCTAGTTTTTATGGGAAGATATTTCCTTTTTCACCTTAGGCCGGTAAGTGCTCCAAATGTCCACTTACACACACTACAAAAAGAGTGTTTCAAACCTGCTCTGTGAAAGGGAATGTTCAATTCTGTGACTTGAATGCAATCATCACAAAGAACTTTCTGAGAATGCTGCTGACTGCTTTTTATATGTAATCCCGTTTCCAACGAAATCCTCAAATCTAGCCAAATAGCCACTTGCAGATTCCACAAAAAGAGTGTTTCAAAACTGTTCTGTCTAAAGAAATGTTCAACTGTGTTAGTTGAGGACACACATCAGAAACTAGTTTCTGAGAATGCTTCTGTCTAGTTGTTATGGGAAGATATTTCCTTTTCCAACGTAGGCCTGAAAGCGCTCCAAATGTCCACTTCCAGATACTACAAAAAGAGTGTTTCAAACCTGCTCTACCAAAGGGAATGTTCTACTCTGTGACTTGAATGCAAACATCCCAAAGAAGTTTCTGAGAATACTTCTGTCTAGATTTTCTCTGAAGACAATCCCGTTTCCAACGAAATCCTCAAGGCTAGGCAAATATACTCTTGCAGATTCCAGAAAAAGAGTGTTTCAAAACTGCTCCTTCAAAACGGTGGTTCAATTCTCTTAGTTGAGTACACACATCTCAAATAAGTTTCTGAGAATGCTTCTGCCTAGTTGTTACGGGAAGATATTTCCCTTTCCAACATGGGCCTGAAAGCGCTCCAAATGTCCACTTCCAGATACTACAAAAAGAGTGTTTCAAACCTGCTCTACCAAAGGGAATGTTCTACTCTGTGACTTGAATGCAAACATCCCAAAGAAGTTTCTGAGAATGCTTCTGTCTAGATTTTACCTGAAGACAATCCCGTTTCCCACGAAATCCTCAAAGCTATGCAAATATCCTCTTGCAGATTCTACAAAAAGAGTGTTTCAAAACTGCTCTATGAAAAGAAAGGTTCAACTCTGTCAGTAGAGGGCACACATCACAAACAAGTTTCTGAGAATGCTTCTGCATAGTTGTTACGGGAAGATATTTCCCTTTCCAAAATAGGCCTGAAAGCGCTCCCAAATGTCCACTTCCAGATACTACAAAAGGAGTGATTCCAACCTGCTCTATGATAGGGAATGTTCAACTCTGTGTCCTGAATACAAACATCACAAAGATGTTTCTCAGAACGCTGCAGTCTGCAATTTGTATGAATTCCCGCTTCCAACGAAATCCTCAAAACTAGCCAAATATCCACTTGCAGATTCCACAAAAAGACCATTTCAAAACTGCTCTATCAAAAGAAAGGTTCAACTTTGTTAGTTGAGTAGATACAGCATAAACAAGTTTCTGAGAATGCTTCTGTCCAGTTTTTATGGGAAGATATTTCCTTTTTCACCTTAGCCCTGAAAGCGCTCCAAAAGTCCAGTTCCAGATACTACAAAAGGGGTGTTTCAGGACTGCTCTATGAAAGGGAGTGTTCAACTTTTGACTTGAATGCAAACATCAGAAAGCAGTTTCTCAGAACGCTGCTGTGTGCTTTTTATATGTATTCCCGCTTCCAGCGAAATCCCCAAAGCTAGCCAAATATCCACTTGCAGATTCCAGAAAAAGAGTGTTTCAAAACTGCTCCTTCAAAACGGTGGTTCAATTCTCTTAGTTGAGTACACACATCTCAAATAAGTTTCTGAGAATGCTTCTGTCCAGTTTTTATGGGAAGATATTTCCTTTTTCACCTTAGCCGTGAAATCGCTCCAAAAGTCCAGTTCCAGATACTACAAAAGGGGTGTTTCAAGACTGCTCTATGAAAGGGAGTGTTCAACTTTTGACTTGAATGCAAACATCAGAAAGCAGTTTCTCAGAACGCTGCAGTCTGCAATTTGTATGAATTCCCGCTTCCAACGAAATCCTCCAAACTAGCCAAATATCCACTTGCAGATTCCACAAAAAGAGCGTTTCAAAACTTCTCTATGAAAAGAAAGGTTCTACTCCTTTAGTTGAGGACACACATCACGAGTAAGTTTCTGAGAGTGTTTCTGTCTAGTTTTTATGGGAAGATATTTCCTTTTTCACCTTAGGCCGGAAAGTGCTCCAAATGTCCACTTACACACACTACAAAAAGAGTGTTTCAAACCTGCTCTGTGAAAGGGAATGTTCAATTCTGTGACTTGAATGCAATCATCACAAAGAACTTTCTGAGAATGCTGCTGTCTGCTTTTTATATGTAATCCCGTTTCCAACGAAATCCTCAAATCTAGCCAAATAGCCACTTGCAGATTCCACAAAAAGAGTGTTTCAAAACTGTTCTGTCTAAAGAAATGTTCAACTGTGTTAGTTGAGGACACACATCAGAAACTAGTTTCTGAGAATGCTTCTGTCTAGTTGTTATGGGAAGATATTTCCTTTTCCAACATAGGCCTGAAAGCACTCCAAATGTCCACTTCCATATACTAAAAAAAGAGTGTTTCAAACCTGCTCTACCAAAGGGAATGTTCTACTCTGTGACTTGAATGCAAACATCCCAAAGAAGTTTTTGAGAATGCTTCTGTCTAGATTTGATCTGAAGACAATCCCGTTTCCAACGAAATCCTCAAGGCTAGGCAAATATCCTCTTGCAGATTCCAGAGAAAGAGTGTTTCAAAACTGCTCCTTGAAAACGGTGGTTCAATTCTCTTAGTTGAGTACACACATCTCAAATAACTTTCTGAGAATGCTTCTGCCTAGTTGTTACGGGAAGATATTTCCCTTTCCAACATAGGCCTGAAAGCGCTCCAAATGTCCACTTCCAGATAATACAAAAAGAGTGTTTCAAACCTACTCTACCAAAGGGAATGTTCTACTCTGTGACTTGAATGCAAACATCCCAAAGAAGTTTCTGAGAATGCTTCTGTCTAGATTTTACCTGAAGACAATCCCGTTTCCCACGAAATCCTCAAAGCTATGCAAATATCCTCTTGCAGATTCTACAAAAAGAGCGTTTCAAAACTTCTCTATGAAAAGAAAGGTTCTACTCATTTAGTGGAGGACACACATCACGAGTAAGTTTCTCAGAATGCTTCTGTCTAGTTTTTATGGGAAGATATTTCCTTTTTCACCTTAGGCCGGAAAGTGCTCCAAATGTCCACTTCCAGATACTACAAAAGGAGTGATTCCAACCTGCTCTATGATAGGGAATGTTCAACTCTCTGTCCTGAATACAAACATCACAAAGATGTTTCTCAGAACGCTGCAGTCTGCAATTTGTATGAATTCCCGCTTCCAACGAAATCCTCAAAACTAGCCAAATATCCACTTGCAGATTCCACAAAAAGAGCATTTCAAAACTGCTCTATCAAAAGAAAGGTTCAACTTTGTTAGTTGAGTAGATACAGCATAAACAAGTTTCTGAGAATGCTTCTGTCCAGTTTTTATGGGAAGATATTTCCTTTTTCACCTTAGCCCTGAAAGCGCTCCAAAAGTCCAGTTCCAGATACTACAAAAGGAGTGTTTCAGGACTGCACTATGAAAGGGAGTGTTCAACTTTTGACTTGAATGCAAACATCAGAAAGCAGTTTCTCAGAACGCTGCTGTGTGCTTTTTATATGTATTCCCGCTTCCAGCGAAATCCCCAAAGCTAGCCAAATATCCACTTGCAGAATCCAGAAAAAGAGTGTTTCAAAACTGCTCCTTCAAAACGGTGGTTCAATTCTCTTAGTTGAGTACACACATCTCAAATAAGTTTCTGAGAATGCTTCTGCATAGTTGTTACGGGAAGATATTTCCCTTTCCAAAATAGGCCTGAAAGCGCTCCAAATGTCCACTTCCAGATACTACAAAAGGAGTGATTCAAACCTGCTCTATGATAGGGAATGTTCAACTCTGTGTCCTGAATACAAACATCACAAAGATGTTTCTCAGAACGCTGCAGTCTGCAATTTGTATGAATTCCCGCTTCCAACGAAATCCTCCAAACTAGCCAAATATCCACTTGCAGATTCCACAAAAAGAGCGTTTCAAAACTTCTCTATGAAAAGAAAGGTTCTACTCCTTTAGTTGAGGACACACATCACGAGTAAGTTTCTGAGAATGCTTCTGTCTAGTTTTTATGGGAAGATATTTCCTTTTTCACCTTAGGCCGGTAAGTGCTCCAAATGTCCACTTACACACACTACAAAAAGAGTGTTTCAAACCTGCTCTGTGAAAGGGAATGTTCAATTCTGTGACTTGAATGCAATCATCACAAAGAACTTTCTGAGAATGCCGCTGACTGCTTTTTATATGTAATCCCGTTTCCAACGAAATCCTCAAATCTAGCCAAATAGCCACTTGCAGATTCCACAAAAAGAGTGTTTCAAAACTGTTCTGTCTAAAGAAATGTTCAACTGTGTTAGTTGAGGACACACATCAGAAACTAGTTTCTGAGAATGCTTCTGTCTAGTTGTTATGGGAAGATATTTCCTTTTCCAACGTAGGCCTGAAAGCGCTCCAAATGTCCACTTCCAGATACTACAAAAAGAGTGTTTCAAACCTGCTCTACCAAAGGGAATGTTCTACTCTGTGACTTGAATGCAAGCATCCCAAAGAAGTTTCTGAGAATGCTTCTGTCTAGATTTTCTCTGAAGACAATCCCGTTTCCAACGAAATCCTCAAGGCTAGGCAAATATACTCTTGCAGATTCCAGAAAAAGAGTGTTTCAAAACTGCTCCTTCAAAACGGTGGTTCAATTCTCTTAGTTGAGTACACACATCTCAAATAAGTTTCTGAGAATGCTTCTGCCTAGTTGTTACGGGAAGATATTTCCCTTTCCAACATGGGCCTGAAAGCGCTCCAAATGTCCACTTCCAGATACTACAAAAAGAGTGTTTCAAACCTGCTCTACCAAAGGGAATGTTCTACTCTGTGACTTGAATGCAAACATCCCAAAGAAGTTTCTGAGAATGCTTCTGTCTAGATTTTACCTGAAGATAATCCCGTTTCCCACGAAATCCTCAAAGCTATGCAAATATCCTCTTGCAGATTCTACAAAAAGAGTGTTTCAAAACTGCTCTATGAAAAGAAAGGTTCAACTCTGTCAGTAGAGGGCACACATCACAAACAAGTTTCTGAGAATGCTTCTGCATAGTTGTTACGGGAAGATATTTCCCTTTCCAAAATAGGCCTGAAAGCGCTCCAAATGTCCACTTCCAGATACTACAAAAGGAGTGATTCCAACCTGCTCTATGATAGGGAATGTTCAACTCTGTGTCCTGAATACAAACATCACAAAGATGTTTCTCAGAACGCTGCAGTCTGCAATTTGTATGAATTCCCGCTTCCAACGAAATCCTCAAAACTAGCCAAATATCCACTTGCAGATTCCACAAAAAGACCATTTCAAAACTGCTCTATCAAAAGAAAGGTTCAACTTTGTTAGTTGAGTAGATACAGCATAACCAAGTTTCTGAGAAAGCTTCTGTCCAGTTTTTATGGGAAGATATTTCCTTTTTCACCTTAGCCCTGAAATCGCTCCAAAAGTCCAGTTCCAGATACTACAAAAGGGGTGTTTCAAGACTGCTCTATGAAAGGGAGTGTTCAACTTTTGACTTGAATGCAAACATCAGAAAGCAGTTTCTCAGAACGCTGCTGTGTGCTTTTTATATGTATTCCCGCTTCCAGCGAAATCCCCAAAGCTAGCCAAATATCCACTTGCAGATTCCAGAAAAAGAGAGTTTCAAAACTGCTCCTTCAAAACGGTGGTTCAATTCTCTTAGTTGAGTACACACATCTCAAATAAGTTTCTGAGAATGCTTCTGTCTAGTTGTTATGGGAAGATATTTCCTTTTCCAACATAGGCCTGAAAGCGCTCCAAATGTCCACTTCCAGATACTACAAAAGGAGTGATTCCAACCTGCTCTATGATAGGGAATGTTCAACTCTGTGTCCTGAATACAAACATCACAAAGATGTTTCTCAGAACGCTGCAGTCTGCAATTTGTATGAATTCCCGCTTCCAACGAAATCCTCCAAACTAGCCAAATATCCACTTGCAGATTCCACAAAAAGAGCGTTTCAAAACTTCTCTATGAAAAGAAAGGTTCTACTCCTTTAGTTGAGGACACACATCACGAGTAAGTTTCTGAGAATGCTTCTGTCTAGTTTTTATGGGAAGATATTTCCTTTTTCACCTTAGGCCGGAAAGTGCTCCAAATGTCCACTTACACACACTATAAAAAGAGTGTTTCAAACCTGCTCTGTGAAAGGGAATGTTCAATTCTGTGACTTGAATGCAATCATCACAAAGAACTTTCTGAGAATGCTGCTGTCTGCTTTTTATATGTAATCCCGTTTCCAACGAAATCCTCAAATCTAGCCAAATAGCCACTTGCAGATTCCACAAAAAGAGAGTTTCAAAACTGTTCTGTCTAAAGAAATGTTCAACTGTGTTAGTTGAGGACACACATCAGAAACTAGTTTCTGAGAATGCTTCTGTCTAGTTGTTATGGGAAGATATTTCCTTTTCCAACGTAGGCCTGAAAGCGCTCCAAATGTCCACTTCCATATACTAAAAAAAGAGTGTTTCAAACCTGCTCTACCAAAGGGAATGTTCTACTCTGTGACTTGAATGCAAACATCCCAAAGAAGTTTCTGAGAATGCTTCTGTCTAGATTTGATCTGAAGACAATCCCGTTTCCAACGAAATCCTCAAGGCTAGGCAAATATCCTCTTGCAGATTCCAGAAAAAGAGTGTTTCAAAACTGCTCCTTCAAAACGGTGGTTCAATTCTCTTAGTTGAGTACACACATCTCAAATAAGTTTCTGAGAATGCTTCTGCCTAGTTGTTACGGGAAGATATTTCCCTTTCCAACATAGGCCTGAAAGCGCTCCAAATGTCCACTTCCAGATAATACAAAAAGAGTGTTTCAAACCTGCTCTACCAAAGGGAATGTTCTACTCTGTGACTTGAATGCAAACATCCCAAAGAAGTTTCTCCGAATGCTTCTGTCTAGATTTTACCTGAAGACAATCCCGTTTCCCACGAAATCCTCAAAGCTATGCAAATATCCTCTTGCAGATTCTACAAAAAGAGCGTTTCAAAACTTCTCTATGAAAAGAAAGGTTCTACTCATTTAGTGGAGGACACACATCACGAGTAAGTTTCTGAGAATGCTTCTGTCTAGTTTTTATGGGAAGATATTTCCTTTTCCACCTTAGGCCGGAAAGTGCTCCAAATGTCCAATTACACACACTAAAAAAGAGTATTTCAAACCTGCTCTGTGAAAGGGAATGTTCAATTCTGTGACTTGAATGCAATCATCACAAAGAAGTTTCTGAGAATGCTGCTGACTGCTTTTTATATGTAATCCCGTTTCCAACGAAATCCTCAAATCTAGCCAAATAGCCACTTGCAGATTCCACAAAAAGAGTGTTTCAAAACTGTTCTGTCTAAAGAAATGTGCAACTGTGTTAGTTGAGGACACACATCAGAAACTAGTTTCTGAGAATGCTTCTGTCTAGTTGTTATGGGAAGATATTTCCTTTTCCAACGTAGGCCTGAATGCGCTCCAAATGTCCACTTCCATATACTAAAAAAAGAGTGTTTCAAACCTGCTCTACCAAAGGGAATGTTCTACTCTGTGACTTGAATGCAAACATCCCAAAGAAGTTTCTGAGAATGCTTCTGTCTAGATTTGATCTGAAGACAATCCCGTTTCCAACGAAATCCTCAAGGCTAGGCAAATATCCTCTTGCAGATTCCAGAAAAACAGTGTTTCAAAACTGCTCCTTCAAAACGGTGGTTCAATTCTCTTAGTTGAGTACACACATCTCAAATAAGTTTCTGAGAATGCTTCTGCCTAGTTGTTACGGGAAGATATTTCCCTTTCCAACATAGGCCTGAAAGCGCTCCAAATGTCCACTTCCAGATACTACAAAAAGAGTGTTTCAAACCTGCTCTACCAAAGGGAATGTTCTACTCTGTGACTTGAATGCAAACATCCCAAAGAAGTTTCTGAGAATGCTTCTGTCTAGATTTTACCTGAAGACAATCCCGTTTCCCACGAAATCCTCAAAGCTATGCAAATATCCTCTTGCAGATTCTACAAAAAGAGTGTTTCAAAACTGCTCTATGAAAAGAAAGGTTCAACTCTGTCAGTAGAGGGCACACATCACAAACAAGTTTCTGAGAATGCTTGTGTCTAGTTGTTATGGGAAGATATTTCCTTTTTCAACATAGGCCTGAAAGCGCTCCAAATGTCCACTTCCAGATACTACAAAAGGAGTGATTCCAACCTGCTCTATGATAGGGAATGTTCAACTCTCTGTCCTGAATACAAACATCACAAAGATGTTTCTCAGAACGCTGCAGTCTGCAATTTGTATGAATTCCCGCTTCCAACGAAATCCTCAAAACTAGCCAAATATCCACTTGCAGATTCCACAAAAAGAGCATTTCAAAACTGCTCTATCAAAAGAAAGGTTCAACTTTGTTAGTTGAGTAGATACAGCATAAACAAGTTTCTGAGAATGCTTCTGTCCAGTTTTTATGGGAAGATATTTCCTTTTTCACCTTAGCCCTGAAAGCGCTCCAAAAGTCCAGTTCCAGATACTACAAAAGGGGTGTTTCAAGACTGCTCTATGAAAGGGAGTGTTCAACTTTTGACTTGAATGCAAACATCAGAAAGCAGTTTCTCAGAACGCTGCTGTGTGCTTTTTATATGTATTCCCGCTTCCAGCGAAATCCCCAAAGCTAGCCAAATATCCACTTGCAGATTCCAGAAAAAGAGTGTTTCAAAACTGCTCCTTCAAAACGGTGGTTCAATTCTCTTAGTTGAGTACACACATCTCAAATAAGTTTCTGAGAATGCTTCTGTCTAGTTGTTATGGGAAGATATTTCCTTTTCCAACATAGGCCTGAAAGCGCTCCAAATGTCCACTTCCAGATACTACAAAAGGAGTGATTCAAACCTGCTCTATGATAGGGAATGTTCAACTCTGTGTCCTGAATACAAACATCACAACGATGTTTCTCAGAACGCTGCAGTCTGCAATTTGTATGAATTCCCGCTTCCAACGAAATCCTCAAAACTAGCCAAATATCCACTTGCAGATTCCACAAAAAGAGCGTTTCAAAACTTCTCTATGAAAAGAAAGGTTCTACTCCTTTAGTTGAGGACACACATCACGAGTAAGTTTCTGAGAATGCTTCTGTCTAGTTTTTATGGGAAGATATTTCCTTTTTCACCTTAGGCCGGTAAGTGCTCCAAATGTCCACTTACACACACTACAAAAAGAGTGTTTCAAACCTGCTCTGTGAAAGGGAATGTTCAATTCTGTGACTTGAATGCAATCATCACAAAGAACTTTCTGAGAATGCTGCTGACTGCTTTTTATATGTAATCCCGTTTCCAACGAAATCCTCAAATCTAGCCAAATAGCCACTTGCAGATTCCACAAAAAGAGTGTTTCAAAACTGTTCTGTCTAAAGAAATGTTCAACTGTGTTAGTTGAGGACACACATCAGAAACTAGTTTCTGAGAATGCTTCTGTCTAGTTGTTATGGGAAGATATTTCCTTTTCCAACGTAGGCCTGAAAGCGATCCAAATGTCCACTTCCATATACTAAAAAAAGAGTGTTTCAAACCTGCTCTACCAAAGGGAATGTTCTACTCTGTGACTTGAATGCAAACATCCCAAAGAAGTTTCTGAGAATGCTTCTGTCTAGATTTTCTCTGAAGACAATCCCGTTTCCAACGAAATCCTCAAGGCTAGGCAAATATACTCTTGCAGATTCCAGAAAAAGAGTGTTTCAAAACTGCTCCTTCAAAACGGTGGTTCAATTCTCTTAGTTGAGTACACACATCTCAAATAAGTTTCTGAGAATGCTTCTGCCTAGTTGTTACGGGAAGATATTTCCCTTTCCAACATGGGCCTGAAAGCGCTCCAAATGTCCACTTCCAGATACTACAAAAAGAGTGTTTCAAACCTGCTCTACCAAAGGGAATGTTCTACTCTGTGACTTGAATGCAAACATCCCAAAGAAGTTTCTGAGAATGCTTCTGTCTAGATTTTACCTGAAGACAATCCCGTTTCCCACGAAATCCTCAAAGCTATGCAAATATCCTCTTGCAGATTCTACAAAAAGAGTGTTTCAAAACTGCTCTATGAAAAGAAAGGTTCAACTCTGTCAGTAGAGGGCACACATCACAAACAAGTTTCTGAGAATGCTTCTGCATAGTTGTTACGGGAAGATATTTCCCTTTCCAAAATAGGCCTGAAAGCGCTCCAAATGTCCACTTCCAGATACTACAAAAGGAGTGATTCCAACCTGCTCTATGATAGGGAATGTTCAACTCTGTGTCCTGAATACAAACATCACAAAGATGTTTCTCAGAACGCTGCAGTCTGCAATTTGTATGAATTCCCGCTTCCAACGAAATCCTCAAAACTAGCCAAATATCCACTTGCAGATTCCACAAAAAGACCATTTCAAAACTGCTCTATCAAAAGAAAGGTTCAACTTTGTTAGTTGAGTAGATACAGCATAAACAAGTTTCTGAGAATGCTTCTGTCCAGTTTTTATGGGAAGATATTTCCTTTTTCACCTTAGCCCTGAAATCGCTCCAAAAGTCCAGTTCCAGATACTAAAAAAGGGGTGTTTCAAGACTGCTCTATGAAAGGGAGTGTTCAACTTTTGACTTGAATGCAAACATCAGAAAGCAGTTTCTCAGAACGCTGCTGTGTGTTTTTTATATGTATTCCCGCTTCCAGCGAAATCCCCAAAGCTAGCCAAATATCCACTTGCAGATTCCAGAAAAAGAGAGTTTCAAAACTGCTCCTTCAAAACGGTGGTTCAATTCTCTTAGTTGAGTACACACATCTCAAATAAGTTTCTGAGAATGCTTCTGTCTAGTTGTTATGGGAAGATATTTCCTTTTCCAACATAGGCCTGAAAGCGCTCCAAATGTCCACTTCCAGATACTACAAAAGGAGTGATTCCAACCTGCTCTATGATAGGGAATGTTCAACTCTGTGTCCTGAATACAAACATCACAAAGATGTTTCTCAGAACGCTGCAGTCTGCAATTTGTATGAATTCCCGCTTCCAACGAAATCCTCAAAACTAGCCAAATATCCACTTGCAGATTCCACAAAAAGAGCGTTTCAAAACTTCTCTATGAAAAGAAAGGTTCTACTCCTTTAGTTGAGGACACACATCACGAGTAAGTTTCTGAGAATGCTTCTGTCTAGTTTTTATGGGAAGATATTTCCTTTTTCACCTTAGGCCAGAAAGTGCTCCAAATGTCCACTTACACACACTACAAAAAGAGTGTTTCAAACCTGTTCTGTGAAAGGGAATGTTCAATTCTGTGACTTGAATGCAATCATCACAAAGAACTTTCTGAGAATGCTGCTGTCTGCTTTTTATATGTAATCCCGTTTCCAACGAAATCCTCAAATCTAGCCAAATAGCCACTTGCAGATTCCACAAAAAGAGTGTTTCAAAACTGTTCTGTCTAAAGAAATGTTCAACTGTGTTAGTTGAGGACACACATCAGAAACTAGTTTCTGAGAATGCTTCTGTCTAGTTGTTATGGGAAGATATTTCCTTTTCCAACGTAGGCCTGAAAGCGCTCCAAATGTCCACTTCCATATACTAAAAAAACAGTGTTTCAAACCTGCTCTACCAAAGGGAATGTTCTACTCTGTGACTTGAATGCAAACATCCCAAAGAAGTTTCTGAGAATGCTTCTGTCTAGATTTGATCTGAAGACAATCCCGTTTCCAACGAAATCCTCAAGGCTAGGCAAATATCCTCTTGCAGATTCCAGAAAAAGAGTGTTTCAAAACTGCTCCTTCAAAACGGTGGTTCAATTCTCTTAGTTGAGTACACACATCTCAAATAAGTTTCTGAGAATGCTTCTGCCTAGTTGTTACGGGAAGATATTTCCCTTTCCAACATAGGCCTGAAAGCGCTCCAAATGTCCACTTCCAGATACTACAAAAAGAGTGTTTCAAACCTGCTCTACCAAAGGGAATGTTCTGCTCTGTGACTTGAATGCAAACATCCCAAAGAAGTTTCTGAGAATGCTTCTGTCTAGATTTTACCTGAAGACAATCCCGTTTCCCACGAAATCCTCAAAGCTATGCAAATATCCTCTTGCAGATTCTACAAAAAGAGTGTTTCAAAACTGCTCTATGAAAAGAAAGGTTCAACTCTGTCAGTAGAGGGCACACATCACAAACAAGTTTCTGAGAATGCTTGTGTCTAGTTGTTATGGGAAGATATTTCCTTTTTCAACATAGGCCTGAAAGCGCTCCAAATGTCCACTTCCAGATACTACAAAAGGAGTGATTCCAACCTGCTCTATGATAGGGAATGTTCAACTCTGTGTCCTGAATACAAACATCACAAAGATGTTTCTCAGAACGCTGCAGTCTGCAATTTGTATGAATTCCCGCTTCCAACGAAATCCTCAAAACTAGCCAAATATCCACTTGCAGATTCCACAAAAAGAGCGTTTCAAAACTTCTCTATGAAAAGAAAGGTTCTACTCCTTTAGTTGAGGACACACATCACGAGTAAGTTTCTGAGAATGCTTCTGTCTAGTTTTTATGGGAAGATATTTCCTTTTTCACCTTAGGCCGGAAAGCGCTCCAAATGTCCACTTACACATACTACAAAAAATGTGTTTCAAACCTGCTCTGTGAAAGGGAATGTTCAATTCTGTGACTTGAATACAATCATCACAAAGAACTTTCTGAGAATGCTTGCTGTCTGCTTTTTATATGTAATCCCGTTTCCAACGAAATCCTCAAATCTAGCCAAATAGCCACTTGCAGATTCCACAAAAAGAGTGTTTCAAAACTGTTCTGTCTAAAGAAATGTTCAACTGTGTTAGTTGAGGACACACATCAGAAACTAGTTTCTGAGAATGCTTCTGTCTAGTTGTTATGGGAAGATATTTCCTTTTCCAACGTAGGCCTGAAAGCGCTCCAAATGTCCACTTCCAGATACTACAAAAAGAGTGTTTCAAACCTGCTCTACCAAAGGGAATGTTCTACTCTGTGACTTGAATGCAAACATCCCAAAGAAGTTTCTGAGAATGCTTCTGTCTAGATTTTCTCTGAAGACAATCCCGTTTCCAACGAAATCCTCAAGGCTAGGCAAATATACTCTTGCAGATTCCAGAAAAAGAGTGTTTCAAAACTGCTCCTTCAAAACGGTGGTTCAATTCTCTTAGTTGAGTACACACATCTCAAATAAGTTTCTGAGAATGCTTCTGCCTAGTTGTTACGGGAAGATATTTCCCTTTCCAACATGGGCCTGAAAGCGCTCCAAATGTCCACTTCCAGATACTACAAAAAGAGTGTTTCAAACCTGCTCTACCAAAGGGAATGTTCTACTCTGTGACTTGAATGCAAACATCCCAAAGAAGTTTCTGAGAATGCTTCTGTCTAGATTTTACCTGAAGACAATCCCGTTTCCCACGAAATCCTCAAAGCTATGCAAATATCCTCTTGCAGATTCTACAAAAAGAGTGTTTCAAAACTGCTCTATGAAAAGAAAGGTTCAACTCTGTCAGTAGAGGGCACACATCACAAACAAGTTTCTGAGAATGCTTCTGCATAGTTGTTACGGGAAGATATTTCCCTTTCCAAAATAGGCCTGAAAGCGCTCCAAATGTCCACTTCCAGATACTACAAAAGGAGTGATTCCAACCTGCTCTATGATAGGGAATGTTCAACTCTGTGTCCTGAATACAAACATCACAAAGATGTTTCTCAGAACGCTGCAGTCTGCAATTTGTATGAATTCCCGCTTCCAACGAAATCCTCAAAACTAGCCAAATATCCACTTGCAGATTCCACAAAAAGACCATTTCAAAACTGCTCTATCAAAAGAAAGGTTCAACTTTGTTAGTTGAGTAGATACAGCATAAACAAGTTTCTGAGAATGCTTCTGTCCAGTTTTTATGGGAAGATATTTCCTTTTTCACCTTAGCCCTGAAAGCGCCCCAAATGTCCAGTTCCAGATACTACAAAAGGGGTGTTTCAAGACTGCTCTATGAAAGGGAGTGTTCAACTTTTGATTTGAATGCAAACATCAGAAAGCAGTTTCTCAGAACGCTGCTGTGTGTTTTTTATATGTATTCCCGCTTCCAGCGAAATCCCCAAAGCTAGCCAAATATCCACTTGCAGATTCCAGAAAAAGAGCGTTTCAAAACTGCTCCTTGAAAACGGTGGTTCAATTCTCTTAGTTGAGTACACCCATCTCAAATAAGTTTCTGAGAATGCTTCTGTCTATTTGTTATGGGAAGATATTTCCTTTTCCAACATAGGCCTGAAAGCGCTCCAAATGTCCACTTCCAGATACTAGAAAAGGAGTGATTCAAACCTGCTCTATGATAGGGAATGTTCAACTCTGTGTCCTGAATACAAACATCACAAAGATGTTTCTCAGAACGCTGCAGTCTGCAATTTGTATGAATTCCCGCTTCCAACGAAATCCTCCAAACTAGCCAAATATCCACTTGCAGATTCCACAAAAAGAGCGTTTCAAAACTTCTCTATGAAAAGAAAGGTTCTACTCCTTTAGTTGAGGACACACATCACGAGTAAGTTTCTGAGAATGCTTCTGTCTAGTTTTTATGGGAAGATTATTTCCTTTTTCACCTTAGGCCGGTAAGTGCTCCAAATGTCCACTTACACACACTACAAAAAGAGTGTTTCAAACCTGCTCTGTGAAAGGGAATGTTCAATTCTGTGACTTGAATGCAATCATCACAAAGAACTTTCTGAGAATGCTGCTGGCTGCTTTTTATATGTAATCCCGTTTCCAACGAAATCCTCAAATCTAGCCAAATAGCCACTTGCAGATTCCACAAAAAGAGTGTTTCAAAACTGTTCTGTCTAAAGAAATGTTCAACTGTGTTAGTTGAGGACACACATCAGAAACTAGTTTCTGAGAATGCTTCTGTCTAGTTGTTATGGGAAGATATTTCCTTTTCCAACGTAGGCCTGAAAGCGCTCCAAATGTCCACTTCCAGATACTACAAAAAGAGTGTTTCAAACCTGCTCTACCAAAGGGAATGTTCTACTCTGTGACTTGAATGCAAGCATCCCAAAGAAGTTTCTGAGAATGCTTCTGTCTAGATTTTCTCTGAAGACAATCCCGTTTCCAACGAAATCCTCAAGGCTAGGCAAATATACTCTTGCAGATTCCAGAAAAAGAGTGTTTCAAAACTGCTCCTTCAAAACGGTGGTTCAATTCTCTTAGTTGAGTACACACATCTCAAATAAGTTTCTGAGAATGCTTCTGCCTAGTTGTTACGGGAAGATATTTCCCTTTCCAACATGGGCCTGAAAGCGCTCCAAATGTCCACTTCCAGATACTACAAAAAGAGTGTTTCAAACCTGCTCTACCAAAGGGAATGTTCTACTCTGTGACTTGAATGCAAACATCCCAAAGAAGTTTCTGAGAATGCTTCTGTCTAGATTTTACCTGAAGACAATCCCGTTTCCCACGAAATCCTCAAAGCTATGCAAATATCCTCTTGCAGATTCTACAAAAAGAGTGTTTCAAAACTGCTCTATGAAAAGAAAGGTTCAACTCTGTCAGTAGAGGGCACACATCACAAACAAGTTTCTGAGAATGCTTCTGCATAGTTGTTACGGGAAGATATTTCCCTTTCCAAAATAGGCCTGAAAGCGCTCCAAATGTCCACTTCCAGATACTACAAAAGGAGTGATTCCAACCTGCTCTATGATAGGGAATGTTCAACTCTGTGTCCTGAATACAAACATCACAAAGATGTTTCTCAGAACGCTGCAGTCTGCAATTTGTATGAATTCCCGCTTCCAACGAAATCCTCAAAACTAGCCAAATATCCACTTGCAGATTCCACAAAAAGACCATTTCAAAACTGCTCTATCAAAAGAAAGGTTCAACTTTGTTAGTTGAGTAGATACAGCATAAACAAGTTTCTGAGAATGCTTCTGTCCAGTTTTTATGGGAAGATATTTCCTTTTTCACCTTAGCCCTGAAATCGCTCCAAAAGTCCAGTTCCAGATACTACAAAAGGGGTGTTTCAGGACTGCTCTATGAAAGGGAGTGTTCAACTTTTGACTTGAATGCAAACATCAGAAAGCAGTTTCTCAGAACGCTGCTGTGTGCTTTTTATATGTATTCCCGCTTCCAGCGAAATCCCCAAAGCTAGCCAAATATCCACTTGCAGATTCCAGAAAAAGAGAGTTTCAAAACTGCTCCTTCAAAACGGTGGTTCAATTCTCTTAGTTGAGTACACACATCTCAAATAAGTTTCTGAGAATGCTTCTGTCTATTTGTTATGGGAAGATATTTCCTTTTCCAACATAGGCCTGAAAGCGCTCCAAATGTCCACTTCCAGATACTAGAAAAGGAGTGATTCAAACCTGCTCTATGATAGGGAATGTTCAACTCTGTGTCCTGAATACAAACATCACAAAGATGTTTCTCAGAACGCTGCAGTCTGCAATTTGTATGAATTCCCGCTTCCAGCGAAATCCTCAAAACTAGCCAAATATCCACTTGCAGATTCCACAAAAAGAGCATTTCAAAACTGCTCTATCAAAAGAAAGGTTCAACTTTGTTAGTTGAGTAGATACAGCATAAACAAGTTTCTGAGAATGCTTCTGTCCAGTTTTTATGGGAAGATATTTCCTTTTTCACCTTAGCCCTGAAAGCGCTCCAAAAGTCCAGTTCCAGATACTACAAAAGGAGTGTTTCAGACTGCACTATGAAAGGGAGTGTTCAACTTTTGACTTGAATGCAAACATCAGAAAGCAGTTTCTCAGAACGCTGCTGTGTGCTTTTTATATGTATTCCCGCTTCCAGCGAAATCCCCAAAGCTAGCCAAATATCCACTTGCAGATTCCAGAAAAAGAGTGTTTCAAAACTGCTCCTTCAAAACGGTGGTTCAATTCTCTTAGTTGAGTACACACATCTCAAATAAGTTTCTGAGAATGCTTCTGTCTAGTTGTTATGGGAAGATATTTCCTTTTCCAACATAGGCCTGAAAGCGCTCCAAATGTCCACTTCCAGATACTACAAAAGGAGTGATTCAAACCTGCTCTATGATAGGGAATGTTCAACTCTGTGTCCTGAATACAAACATCACAAAGATGTTTCTCAGAACGCTGCAGTCTGCAATTTGTATGAATTCCCGCTTCCAACGAAATCCTCCAAACTAGCCAAATATCCACTTGCAGATTCCACAAAAAGAGCGTTTCAAAACTTCTCTATGAAAAGAAAGGTTCTACTCCTTTAGTTGAGGACACACATCACGAGTAAGTTTCTGAGAATGCTTCTGTCTAGTTTTTATGGGAAGATATTTCCTTTTTCACCTTAGGCCGGAAAGTGCTCCAAATGTCCACTTACACACACTACAAAAAGAGTGTTTCAAACCTGCTCTGTGAAAGGGAATGTTCAATTCTGTGACTTGAATGCAATCATCACAAAGAACTTTCTGAGAATGCTGCTGTCTGCTTTTTATATGTAATCCCGTTTCCAACGAAATCCTCAAATCTAGCCAAATAGCCACTTGCAGATTCCACAAAAAGAGTGTTTCAAAACTGTTCTGTCTAAAGAAATGCTCAACTGTGTTAGTTGAGGACACACATCAGAAACTAGTTTCTGAGAATGCTTCTGTCTAGTTGTTATGGGAAGATATTTCCTTTTCCAACGTAGGCCTGAAAGCGCTCCAAATGTCCACTTCCATATACTAAAAAAACAGTGTTTCAAACCTGCTCTACCAAAGGGAATGTTCTACTCTGTGACTTGAATGCAAACATCCCAAAGAAGTTTCTGAGAATGCTTCTGTCTAGATTTGATCTGAAGACAATCCCGTTTCCAACGAAATCCTCAAGGCTAGGCAAATATCCTCTTGCAGATTCCAGAAAAAGAGTGTTTCAAAACTGCTCCTTCAAAACGGTGGTTCAATTCTCTTAGTTGAGTACACACATCTCAAATAAGTTTCTGAGAATGCTTCTGCCTAGTTGTTACGGGAAGATATTTCCCTTTCCAACATAGGCCTGAAAGCGCTCCAAATGTCCACTTCCAGATACTATAAAAAGAGTATTTCAAACCTGCTCTACCAAAGGGAATGTTCTACTCTGTGACTTGAATGCAAACATCCCAAAGAAGTTTCTGAGAATGCTTCTGTCTAGATTTTACCTGAAGACAATCCCGTTTCCCACGAAATCCTCAAAGCTATGCAAATATCCTCTTGCAGATTCTACAAAAAGAGTGTTTCAAAACTGCTCTATGAAAAGAAAGGTTCAACTCTGTCAGTAGAGGGCACACATCACAAACAAGTTTCTGAGAATGCTTGTGTCTAGTTGTTATGGGAAGATATTTCCTTTTTCAACATAGGCCTGAAAGCGCTCCAAATGTCCACTTCCAGATACTACAAAAGGAGTGATTCCAACCTGCTCTATGATAGGGAATGTTCAACTCTCTGTCCTGAATACAAACATCACAAAGATGTTTCTCAGAACGCTGCAGTCTGCAATTTGTATGAATTCCCGCTTCCAACGAAATCCTCAAAACTAGCCAAGTATCCACTTGCAGATTCCACAAAAAGACCATTTCAAAACTGCTCTATCAAAAGAAAGGTTCAACTTTGTTAGTTGAGTAGATACAGCATAACCAAGTTTCTGAGAATGCTTCTGTCCAGTTTTTATGGGAAGATATT
Source organism: Homo sapiens (assembly GCF_000001405.40). Taxonomy (NCBI): domain Eukaryota; kingdom Metazoa; phylum Chordata; class Mammalia; order Primates; family Hominidae; genus Homo; species Homo sapiens. Next base: position 16,349,108 of record NC_000018.10, on the reverse strand, counting down.
TCCTTTTTCACCTTAGCCCTGAAATCGCTCCAAAAGTCCAGTTCCAGATACTACAAAAGGGGTGTTTCAAGACTGCTCTATGAAAGGGAGTGTTCAACTTTTGACTTGAATGCAAACATCAGAAAGCAGTTTCTCAGAACGCTGCTGTGTGCTTTTTATATGTATTCCCGCTTCCAGCGAAATCCCCAAAGCTAGCCAAATATCCACTTGCAGATTCCAGAAAAAGAGAGTTTCAAAACTGCTCCTTCAAAACGGTGGTTCAATTCTCTTAGTTGAGTACACACATCTCAAATAAGTTTCTGAGAATGCTTGTGTCTAGTTGTTATGGGAAGATATTTCCTTTTTCAACATAGGCCTGAAAGCGCTCCAAATGTCCACTTCCAGATACTACAAAAGGAGTGATTCCAACCTGCTCTATGATAGGGAATGTTCAACTCTATGTCCTGAATACAAACATCACAAAGATGTTTCTCAGAACGCTGCAGGCTGCAATTTGTATGAATTCCCGCTTCCAACGAAATCCTCAAAACTAGCCAAATATCCACTTGCAGATTCCACAAAAAGAGCGTTTCAAAACTTCTCTATGAAAAGAAAGGTTCTACTCCTTTAGTTGAGGACACACATCACGAGTAAGTTTCTGAGAATGCTTCTGTCTAGTTTTTATGGGAAGATATTTCCTTTTTCACCTTAGGCCGGAAAGTGCTCCAAATGTCCACTTACACACACTACAAAAAGAGTGTTTCAAACCTGCTCTGTGAAAGGGAATGTTCAATTCTGTGACTTGAATGCAATCATCACAAAGAAGTTTCTGAGAATGCTGCTGACTGCTTTTTATATGTAATCCCGTTTCCAACGAAATCCTCAAATCTAGCCAAATAGCCACTTGCAGATTCCACAAAAAGAGTGTTTCAAAACTGTTCTGTCTAAAGAAATGTTCAACTGTGTTAGTTGAGGACACACATCAGAAACTAGTTTCTGAGAATGCTTCTGTCTAGTTGTTATGGGAAGATATTTCCTTTTCCAACGTAGGTCTGAAAGCGCTCCAAATGTCCACTTCCAGATACTACAAAAAGAGTGTTTCAAACCTGCTCTACCAAAGGGAATGTTCTACTCTGTGACTTGAATGCAAACATCCCAAAGAAGTTTCTGAGAATACTTCTGTCTAGATTTTATCTGAAGACAATCCGGTTTCCAACGAAATCCTCAAGGCTAGGCAAATATACTCTTGCAGATTCCAGAAAAAGAGTGTTTCAAAACTGCTCCTTCAAAATGGTGGTTCAATTCTCTTAGTTGAGTACACACATCTCAAATAAGTTTCTGAGAATGCTTCTGCCTAGTTGTTACGGGAAGATATTTCCCTTTCCAACATAGGCCTGAAAGCGCTCCAAATGTCCACTTCCAGATACTACAAAAAGAGTGTTTCAAACCTGCTCTACCAAAGGGAATGTTCTACTCTGTGACTTGAATGCAAACATCCCAAAGAAGTTTCTGAGAATGCTTCTGTCTAGATTTTACCTGAAGACAATCCAGTTTCCCACGAAATCCTCAAAGCTATGCAAATATCCTCTTGCAGATTCTACAAAAAGAGTGTTTCAAAACTGCTCTATGAAAAGAGAGGTTCAACTCTGTCAGTAGAGGGCACACATCACAAACAAGTTTCTGAGAATGCTTGTGTCTAGTTGTTATGGGAAGATATTTCCTTTTTCAACATAGGCCAAAAAGCGCTCCAAATGTCCACTTCCAGATACTACAAAAGGAGTGATTCCAACCTGCTCTATGATAGGGAATGTTCAACCCTCTGTCCTGAATACAAACACCACAAAGATGTTTCTCAGAACGCTGCAGTCTGCAATTTGTATGAATTCCCGCTTCCAACGAAATCCTCAAAACTAGCCAAATATCCACTTGCAGATTCCACAAAAAGACCATTTCAAAACTGCTCTATCAAAAGAAAGGTTCAACTTTGTTAGTTGAGTAGATACAGCATAAACAAGTTTCTGAGAATGCTTCTGTCCAGTTTTTATGGGAAGATATTTCCTTTTTCACCTTAGCCCTGAAATCGCTCCAAAAGTCCAGTTCCAGATACTACCAAAGGGGTGTTTCAGGACTGCTCTATGAAAGGGAGTGTTCAACTTTTGACTTGAATGCAAACATCAGAAAGCAGTTTCTCAGAACGCTGCTGTGTGCTTTTTATATGTATTCCCGCTTCCAGCGAAATCCCCAAAGCTAGCCAAATATCCACTTGCAGATTCCAGAAAAAGAGAGTTTCAAAACTGCTCCTTCAAAACGGTGGTTCAATTCTCTTAGTTGAGTACACACATCTCAAATAAGTTTCTGAGAATGCTTCTGTCTAGTTGTTATGGGAAGATATTTCCTTTTCCAACATAGGCCTGAAAGCGCTCCAAATGTCCACTTCCAGATACTACAAAAGGAGTGATTCAAACCTGCTCTATGATAGGGAATGTTCAACTCTGTGTCCTGAATACAAACATCACAAAGATGTTTCTCAGAACGCTGCAGTCTGCAATTTGTATGAATTCCCGCTTCCAACGAAATCCTCAAAACTAGCCAAATATCCACTTGCAGATTCCACAAAAAGAGCGTTTCAAAACTTCTCTATGAAAAGAAAGGTTCTACTCCTTTAGTTGAGGACACACATCACGAGTAAGTTTCTGAGAATGCTTCTGTCTAGTTTTTATGGGAAGATTATTTCCTTTTTCACCTTAGGCCGGTAAGTGCTCCAAATGTCCACTTACACACACTACAAAAAGAGTGTTTCAAACCTGCTCTGTGAAAGGGAATGTTCAATTCTGTGACTTGAATGCAATCATCACAAAGAACTTTCTGAGAATGCTGCTGACTGCTTTTTATATGTAATCCCGTTTCCAACGAAATCCTCAAATCTAGCCAAATAGCCACTTGCAGATTCCACAAAAAGAGTGTTTCAAAACTGTTCTGTCTAAAGAAATGTTCAACTGTGTTAGTTGAGGACACACATCAGAAACTAGTTTCTGAGAATGCTTCTGTCTAGTTGTTATGGGAAGATATTTCCTTTTCCAACGTAGGCCTGAAAGCGCTCCAAATGTCCACTTCCAGATACTACGAAAAGAGTGTTTCAAACCTGCTCTACCAAAGGGAATGTTCTACTCTGTGACTTGAATGCAAGCATCCCAAAGAAGTTTCTGAGAATGCTTCTGTCTAGATTTTCTCTGAAGACAATCCCGTTTCCAACGAAATCCTCAAGGCTAGGCAAATATCCTCTTGCAGATTCCAGAAAAAGAGTGTTTCAAAACTGCTCCTTCAAAACGGTGGTTCAATTCTCTTAGTTGAGTACACACATCTCAAATAAGTTTCTGAGAATGCTTCTGCCTAGTTGTTACGGGAAGATATTTCCCTTTCCAACATGGGCCTGAAAGCGCTCCAAATGTCCACTTCCAGATACTACAAAAAGAGTGTTTCAAACCTGCTCTACCAAAGGGAATGTTCTACTCTGTGACTTGAATGCAAACATCCCAAAGAAGTTTCTGAGAATGCTTCTGTCTAGATTTTACCTGAAGACAATCCCGTTTCCCACGAAATCCTCAAAGCTATGCAAATATCCTCTTGCAGATTCTACAAAAAGAGTGTTTCAAAACTGCTCTATGAAAAGAAAGGTTCAACTCTGTCAGTAGAGGGCACAACATCACAAACAAGTTTCTGAGAATGCTTCTGCATAGTTGTTACGGGAAGATATTTCCCTTTCCAAAATAGGCCTGAAAGCGCTCCAAATGTCCACTTCCAGATACTACAAAAGGAGTGATTCCAACCTGCTCTATGATAGGGAATGTTCAACTCTGTGTCCTGAATACAAACATCACAAAGATGTTTCTCAGAACGCTGCAGTCTGCAATTTGTATGAATTCCCGCTTCCAACGAAATCCTCAAAACTAGCCAAATATCCACTTGCAGATTCCACAAAAAGACCATTTCAAAACTGCTCTATCAAAAGAAAGGTTCAACTTTGTTAGTTGAGTAGATACAGCATAAACAAGTTTCTGAGAATGCTTCTGTCCAGTTTTTATGGGAAGATATTTCCTTTTTCACCTTAGCCCTGAAATCGCTCCAAAAGTCCAGTTCCAGATACTACAAAAGGGGTGTTTCAAGACTGCTCTATGAAAGGGAGTGTTCAACTTTTGACTTGAATGCAAACATCAGAAAGCAGTTTCTCAGAACGCTGCTGTGTGCTTTTTATATGTATTCCCGCTTCCAGCGAAATCCCCAAAGCTAGCCAAATATCCACTTGCAGATTCCAGAAAAAGAGTGTTTCAAAACTGCTCCTTCAAAACGGTGGTTCAATTCTCTTAGTTGAGTACACACATCTCAAATAAGTTTCTGAGAATGCTTCTGTCTAGTTGTTATGGGAAGATATTTCCTTTTCCAACATAGGCCTGAAAGCGCTCCAAATGTCCACTTCCAGATACTACAAAAGGAGTGATTCAAACCTGCTCTATGATAGGGAATGTTCAACTCTGTGTCCTGAATACAAACATCACAAAGATGTTTCTCAGAACGCTGCAGTCTGCAATTTGTATGAATTCCCGCTTCCAACGAAATCCTCAAAACTAGCCAAATATCCACTTGCAGATTCCACAAAAAGAGCGTTTCAAAACTTCTCTATGAAAAGAAAGGTTCTACTCCTTTAGTTGAGGACACACATCACGAGTAAGTTTCTGAGAATGCTTCTGTCTAGTTTTTATGGGAAGATATTTCCTTTTTCACCTTAGGCCGGTAAGTGCTCCAAATGTCCACTTACACACACTACAAAAAGAGTGTTTCAAACCTGCTCTGTGAAAGGGAATGTTCAATTCTGTGACTTGAATGCAATCATCACAAAGAACTTTCTGAGAATGCTGCTGACTGCTTTTTATATGTAATCCCGTTTCCAACGAAATCCTCAAATCTAGCCAAATAGCCACTTGCAGATTCCACAAAAAGAGTGTTTCAAAACTGTTCTGTCTAAAGAAATGTTCAACTGTGTTAGTTGAGGACACACATCAGAAACTAGTTTCTGAGAATGCTTCTGTCTAGTTGTTATGGGAAGATATTTCCTTTTCCAACGTAGGCCTGAAAGCGCTCCAAATGTCCACTTCCAGATACTACAAAAAGAGTGTTTCAAACCTGCTCTACCAAAGGGAATGTTCTACTCTGTGACTTGAATGCAAGCATCCCAAAGAAGTTTCTGAGAATGCTTCTGTCTAGATTTTCTCTGAAGACAATCCCGTTTCCAACGAAATCCTCAAGGCTAGGCAAATATACTCTTGCAGATTCCAGAAAAAGAGTGTTTCAAAACTGCTCCTTCAAAACGGTGGTTCAATTCTCTTAGTTGAGTACACACATCTCAAATAAGTTTCTGAGAATGCTTCTGCCTAGTTGTTACGGGAAGATATTTCCCTTTCCAACATGGGCCTGAAAGCGCTCCAAATGTCCACTTCCAGATACTACAAAAAGAGTGTTTCAAACCTGCTCTACCAAAGGGAATGTTCTACTCTGTGACTTGAATGCAAACATCCCAAAGAAGTTTCTGAGAATGCTTCTGTCTAGATTTTACCTGAAGACAATCCCGTTTCCCACGAAATCCTCAAAGCTATGCAAATATCCTCTTGCAGATTCTACAAAAAGAGTGTTTCAAAACTGCTCTATGAAAAGAAAGGTTCAACTCTGTCAGTAGAGGGCACACATCACAAACAAGTTTCTGAGAATGCTTCTGCATAGTTGTTACGGGAAGATATTTCCCTTTCCAAAATAGGCCTGAAAGCGCTCCAAATGTCCACTTCCAGATACTACAAAAGGAGTGATTCCAACCTGCTCTATGATAGGGAATGTTCAACTCTGTGTCCTGAATACAAACATCACAAAGATGTTTCTCAGAACGCTGCAGTCTGCAATTTGTATGAATTCCCGCTTCCAACGAAATCCTCAAAACTAGCCAAATATCCACTTGCAGATTCCACAAAAAGACCATTTCAAAACTGCTCTATCAAAAGAAAGGTTCAACTTTGTTAGTTGAGTAGATACAGCATAAACAAGTTTCTGAGAATGCTTCTGTCCAGTTTTTATGGGAAGATATTTCCTTTTTCACCTTAGCCCTGAAATCGCTCCAAAAGTCCAGTTCCAGATACTACAAAAGGGGTGTTTCAAGACTGCTCTATGAAAGGGAGTGTTCAACTTTTGACTTGAATGCAAACATCAGAAAGCAGTTTCTCAGAACGCTGCTGTGTGCTTTTTATATGTATTCCCGCTTCCAGCGAAATCCCCAAAGCTAGCCAAATATCCACTTGCAGATTCCAGAAAAAGAGAGTTTCAAAACTGCTCCTTCAAAACGGTGGTTCAATTCTCTTAGTTGAGTACACACATCTCAAATAAGTTTCTGAGAATGCTTCTGTCTAGTTGTTATGGGAAGATATTTCCTTTTCCAACATAGGCCTGAAAGCGCTCCAAATGTCCACTTCCAGATACTACAAAAGGAGTGATTCCAACCTGCTCTATGATAGGGAATGTTCAACTCTGTGTCCTGAATACAAACATCACAAAGATGTTTCTCAGAACGCTGCAGTCTGCAATTTGTATGAATTCCCGCTTCCAACGAAATCCTCAAAACTAGCCAAATATCCACTTGCAGATTCCACAAAAAGAGCGTTTCAAAACTTCTCTATGAAAAGAAAGGTTCTACTCCTTTAGTTGAGGACACACATCACGAGTAAGTTTCTGAGAATGCTTCTGTCTAGTTTTTATGGGAAGATATTTCCTTTTTCACCTTAGGCCGGTAAGTGCTCCAAATGTCCACTTACACACACTACAAAAAGAGTGTTTCAAACCTGCTCTGTGAAAGGGAATGTTCAATTCTGTGACTTGAATGCAATCATCACAAAGAACTTTCTGAGAATGCTGCTGACTGCTTTTTATATGTAATCCCGTTTCCAACGAAATCCTCAAATCTAGCCAAATAGCCACTTGCAGATTCCACAAAAAGAGTGTTTCAAAACTGTTCTGTCTAAAGAAATGTTCAACTGTGTTAGTTGAGGACACACATCAGAAACTAGTTTCTGAGAATGCTTCTGTCTAGTTGTTATGGGAAGATATTTCCTTTTCCAACGTAGGCCTGAAAGCGCTCCAAATGTCCACTTCCAGATACTACAAAAAGAGTGTTTCAAACCTGCTCTACCAAAGGGAATGTTCTACTCTGTGACTTGAATGCAAACATCCCAAAGAAGTTTCTGAGAATGCTTCTGTCTAGATTTTCTCTGAAGACAATCCCGTTTCCAACGAAATCCTCAAGGCTAGGCAAATATACTCTTGCAGATTCCAGAAAAAGAGTGTTTCAAAACTGCTCCTTCAAAACGGTGGTTCAATTCTCTTAGTTGAGTACACACATCTCAAATAAGTTTCTGAGAATGCTTCTGCCTAGTTGTTACGGGAAGATATTTCCCTTTCCAACATGGGCATGAAAGCGCTCCAAATGTCCACTTCCAGATACTACAAAAAGAGTGTTTCAAACCTGCTCTACCAAAGGGAATGTTCTACTCTGTGACTTGAATGCAAACATCCCAAAGAAGTTTCTGAGAATGCTTCTGTCTAGATTTTACCTGAAGACAATCCCGTTTCCCACGAAATCCTCAAAGCTATGCAAATATCCTCTTGCAGATTCTACAAAAAGAGTGTTTCAAAACTGCTCTATGAAAAGAAAGGTTCAACTCTGTCAGTAGAGGGCACACATCACAAACAAGTTTCTGAGAATGCTTCTGCATAGTTGTTACGGGAAGATATTTCCCTTTCCAAAATAGGCCTGAAAGCGCTCCAAATGTCCACTTCCAGATACTACAAAAGGAGTGATTCCAACCTGCTCTATGATAGGGAATGTTCAACTCTGTGTCCTGAATACAAACATCACAAAGATGTTTCTCAGAACGCTGCAGTCTGCAATTTGTATGAATTCCCGCTTCCAACGAAATCCTCAAAACTAGCCAAATATCCACTTGCAGATTCCACAAAAAGACCATTTCAAAACTGCTCTATCAAAAGAAAGGTTCAACTTTGTTAGTTGAGTAGATACAGCATAAACAAGTTTGCTGAGAATGCTTCTGTCCAGTTTTTATGGGAAGATATTTCCTTTTTCACCTTAGCCCTGAAAGCGCTCCAAAAGTCCAGTTCCAGATACTACAAAAGGAGTGTTTCAGGACTGCTCTATGAAAGGGAGTGTTCAACTTCTGACTTGAATGCAAACATCAGAAAGCAGTTTCTCAGAACGCTGCTGTGTGCTTTTTATATGTATTCCCGCTTCCAGCGAAATCCCCAAAGCTAGCCAAATATCCACTTGCAGATTCCAGAAAAAGAGAGTTTCAAAACTGCTCCTTCAAAACGGTGGTTCAATTCTCTTAGTTGAGTACACACATCTCAAATAAGTTTCTGAGAATGCTTCTGTCTAGTTGTTATGGGAAGATATTTCCTTTTCCAACATAGGCCTGAAAGCGCTCCAAATGTCCACTTCCAGATACTACAAAAGGAGTGATTCCAACCTGCTCTATGATAGGGAATGTTCAACTCTGTGTCCTGAATACAAACATCACAAAGATGTTTCTCACAACGCTGCAGTCTGCAATTTGTATGAATTCCCGCTTCCAACGAAATCCTCCAAACTAGCCAAATATCCACTTGCAGATTCCACAAAAAGAGCGTTTCAAAACTTCTCTATGAAAAGAAAGGTTCTACTCCTTTAGTTGAGGACACACATCACGAGTAAGTTTCTGAGAATGCTTCTGTCTAGTTTTTATGGGAAGATATTTCCTTTTTCACCTTAGGCCGGTAAGTGCTCCAAATGTCCACTTACACACACTACAAAAAGAGTGTTTCAAACCTGCTCTGTGAAAGGGAATGTTCAATTCTGTGACTTGAATGCAATCATCACAAAGAACTTTCTGAGAATGCTGCTGACTGCTTTTTATATGTAATCCCGTTTCCAACGAAATCCTCAAATCTAGCCAAATAGCCACTTGCAGATTCCACAAAAAGAGTGTTTCAAAACTGTTCTGTCTAAAGAAATGTTCAACTGTGTTAGTTGAGGACACACATCAGAAACTAGTTTCTGAGAATGCTTCTGTCTAGTTGTTATGGGAAGATATTTCCAACGTAGGCCTGAAAGCGCTCCAAATGTCCACTTCCATATACTAAAAAAAGAGTGTTTCAAACCTGCTCTACCAAAGGGAATGTTCTACTCTGTGACTTGAATGCAAACATCCCAAAGAAGTTTCTGAGAATGCTTCTGTCTAGATTTTATCTGAAGACAATCCCGTTTCCAACGAAATCCTCAAAGCTAGGCAAATATCCTTTTGCAGATTCCAGAAAAAAGAGTGTTTCAAAACTGCTCCTTCAAAACGTTGGTTCAATTCTCTTAGTTGAGTACACACATCTCAAATAAGTTTCTGAGAATGCTTCTGCATAGTTGTTACGGGAAGATATTTCCCTTTCCAACATGGGCCTGAATGCGCTCCAAATGTCCACTTCCAGATACTACAAAAAGAGGGTTTCAAACCTGCTCTACCAAAGGGAATGTTCTACTCTGTGACTTGAATGCAAACATAACAAAGAAGTTTCTGAGAATGCTTCTGTCTAGTATTTTACCTGAAGACAATCCCGTTTCCCACGAAATCCTCAAAGCTATGCAAATATCCTCTTGCGGATTCTACAAAAAGAGTGTTTCAAAACTGCTCTATGAAAAGAAAGGTTCAACTCTGTCAGTAGAGGGCACACATCACAAACAAGTTTCTGAGAATGCTTGTGTCTAGTTGTTATGGGAAGATATTTCCTTTTTCAACATAGGCCTGAAAGCGCTCCAAATGTCCACTTCCAGATACTACAAAAGGAGTGATTCCAACCTGCTCTATGATAGGGAATGTTCATCTCTGTGTCCTGAATACAAACATCACAAAGATGTTTCTCAGAACGCTTGCAGTCTGCAATTTGTATGAATTCCCGCTTCCAACGAAATCCTCAAAACTAGCCAAATATCCACTTGGAGATTCCACAAAAAGAGCGTTTCAAAACTTCTCTATGAATAGAAAGGTTCTACTCCTTTAGTTGAGGACACACATCACGAGTAAGTTTCTGAGAATGCTTCTGTCTAGTTTTTATGGGAAGATATTTCCTTTTTCACCTTAGGCCGGAAAGCGCTCCAAATGTCCACTTACACACACTACAAAAAGAGTGTTTCAAACCTGCTCTGTGAAAGGGAATGTTCAATTCTGTGACTTGAATGCAATCATCACAAAGAACTTTCTGAGAATGCTGCTGTCTGCTTTTTATATGTAATCCCGTTTCCAACGAAATCCTCAAATCTAGCCAAATATCCACTTGCAGATTCCACAAAAAGAGTGTTTCAAAACTGTTCTGTCTAAAGAAATGTACAACTGTGTTAGTTGAGGACACACATCAGAAACTAGTTTCTGAGAATGCTTCTGTCTAGTTGTTATGGGAAGATATTTCCTTTTCCAACGTAGGCCTGAAAGCGCTCCAAATGTCCACTTCCATATACTAAAAAAAGAGTGTTTCAAACCTGCTCTACCAAAGGGAATATTCTACTCTGTGACTTGAATGCAAACATCCCAAAGAAGTTTCTGAGAATGCTTCTGTCTAGATTTTATCTGAAGACAATCCCGTTTCCAACGAAATCCTCAAGGCTAGGCAAATATACTCTTGCAGATTCCAGAAAAAGAGGGTTTCAAAACTGCTCCTTCAAAACGGTGGTTCAATTCTCTTAGTTGAGTACACACATCTCAAAAAAGTTTCTGAGAATGCTTCTGCCTAGTTGTTACGGGAAGATATTTCCCTTTCCAACATGGGCCTGAAAGCGCTCCAAATGTCCACTTCCAGATACTACAAAAAGAGTGTTTCAAACCTGCTCTACCAAAGGGAATGTTCTACTCTGTGACTTGAATGCAAACATCCCAAAGAAGTTTCTGAGAATGCTTCTCTCTAGATATTACCTGAAGACAATCCCGTTTCCCACGAAATCCTCAAAGCTATGCAAATATCCTCTTGCGGATTCTACAAAAAGAGTGTTTCAAAACTGCTCTATGAAAAGAAAGGTTCAACTCTGTCAGTAGAGGGCACACATCACAAACAAGTTTCTGAGAATGCTTGTGTCTAGTTGTTATGGGAAGATATTTCCTTTTTCAACATAGGCCTGAAAGCGCTCCAAATGTCCACTTCCAGATACTACAAAAGGAGTGATTCCAACCTGCTCTATGATAGGGAATGTTCATCTCTGTGTCCTGAATAGAAACATCACAAAGATGTTTCTCAGAACGCTGCAGTCTGCAATTTGTATGAATTCCCGCTTCCAACGAAATCCTCAAAACTAGCCAAATATCCACTTGGAGATTCCACAAAAAGAGCGTTTCAAAACTTCTCTATGAATAGAAAGGTTCTACTCCTTTAGTTGAGGACACACATCACGAGTAAGTTTCTGAGAATGCTTCTGTCTAGTTTTTATGGGAAGATATTTCCTTTTTCACCTTAGGCCGGAAAGCGCTCCAAATGTCCACTTACACACACTACAAAAAGAGTGTTTCAAACCTGCTCTGTGAAAGGGAATGTTCAATTCTGTGACTTGAATGCAATCATCACAAAGAACTTTCTGAGAATGCTGCTGTCTGCTTTTTATATGTAATCCCGTTTCCAACGAAATCCTCAAATCTAGCCCAATATCCACTTGCAGATTCCACAAAAAGAGTGTTTCAAAACTGTTCTGTCTAAAGAAATGTACAACTGTGTTAGTTGAGGACACACATCAGAAACTAGTTTCTGAGAATGCTTCTGTCTAGTTGTTATGGGAAGATATTTCCTTTTCCAACATAGGCCTGAAAGCGCTCCAAATGTCCACTTCCAGATACTACAAAAAGAGTGTTTCAAACCTGCTCTACCAAAGGGAATGTTCTACTCTGTGACTTGAATGCAAACATCCCAAAGAAGTTTCTGAGAATGCTTCTGTCTAGATTTTACCTGAAGACAATCCCGTTTCCCACGAAATCCTCAAAGCTATGCAAATATCCTCTTGCAGATTCTACAAAAAGAGTGTTTCAAAACTGCTCTATGAAAAGAAAGGTTCAACTCTGTCAGTAGAGGGCACACATCACAAACAAGTTTCTGAGAATGCTTGTGTCTAGTTGTTATGGGAAGATATTTCCTTTTTCAACATAGGCCTGAAAGCGCTCCAAATGTCCACTTCCAGATACTACAAAAGGAGTGATTCCAACCTGCTCTATGATAGGGAATGTTCAACTCTCTGTCCTGAATACAAACATCACAAAGATGTTTCTCAGAACGCTGCAGTCTGCAATTTGTATGAATTCCCGCTTCCAACGAAATCCTCAAAACTAGCCAAATATCCACTTGCAGATTCCACAAAAAGACCATTTCAAAACTGCTCTATCAAAAGAAAGGTTCAACTTTGTTAGTTGAGTAGATACAGCATAAACAAGTTTCTGAGAATGCTTCTGTCCAGTTTTTATGGGAAGATATTTCCTTTTTCACCTTAGCCCTGAAAGCGCTCCAAAAGTCCAGTTCCAGATACTACAAAAGGAGTGTTTCAGGACTGCTCTATGAAAGGGAGTGTTCAACTTTTGACTTGAATGCAAACATCAGAAAGCAGTTTCTCAGAACGCTGCTGTGTGCTTTTTATATGTATTCCCGCTTCCAGCGAAATCCCCAAAGCTAGCCAAATATCCACTTGCAGATTCCAGAAAAAGAGAGTTTCAAAACTGCTCCTTCAAAACGGTGGTTCAATTCTCTTAGTTGAGTACACACATCTCAAATAAGTTTCTGAGCAATGCTTGTGTCTAGTTGTTATGGGAAGATATTTCCTTTTTCAACATAGGCCTGAAAGCGCTCCAAATGTCCACTTCCAGATACTACAAAGGAGTGATTCCAACCTGCTCTATGATAGGGAATGTTCAACTCTGTGTCCTGAATACAAACATCACAAAGATGTTTTTCAGAACGCTGCAGTCTGCAATTTGTATGAATTCCCGCTTCCAACGAAATCCTCAAAACTAGCCAAATATCCACTTGCAGATTCCACAAAAAGAGCGTTTCAAAACTTCTCTATGAAAAGAAAGGTTCTACTCCTTTAGTTGAGGACACACATCACGAGTAAGTTTCTGAGAATGCTTCTGTCTAGTTTTTATGGGAAGATATTTCCTTTTTCACCTTAGGCCGGTAAGTGCTCCAAATGTCCACTTACACACACTACAAAAAGAGTGTTTCAAACCTGCTCTGTGAAAGGGAATGTTCAATTCTGTGACTTGAATGCAATCATCACAAAGAACTTTCTGAGAATGCTGCTGACTGCTTTTTATATGTAATCCCGTTTCCAACGAAATCCTCAAATCTAGCCAGATAGCCACTTGCAGATTCCACAAAAAGAGTGTTTCAAAACTGTTCTGTCTAAGGAAATGTTCAACTGTGTTAGTTGAGGACACACATCAGAAACTAGTTTCTGAGAATGCTTCTGTCTAGTTGTTATGGGAAGATATTTCCTTTTCCAACGTAGGCCTGAAAGCACTCCAAATGTCCACTTCCATATACTAAAAAAAGAGTGTTTCAAACCTGCTCTACCAAAGGGAATGTTCTACTCTGTGACTTGAATGCAAACATCCCAAAGAAGTTTCTGAGAATGCTTCTGTCTAGATTTGATCTGAAGACAATCCCGTTTCCAACGAAATCCTCAAGGCTAGGCAAATATCCTCTTGCAGATTCCAGAGAAAGAGTGTTTCAAAACTGCTCCTTGAAAACGGTGGTTCAATTCTCTTAGTTGAGTACACACATCTCAAATAAGTTTCTGAGAATGCTTCTGCCTAGTTGTTACGGGAAGATATTTCCCTTTCCAACATAGGACTGAAAGCGCTCCAAATGTCCACTTCCAGATACTACAAAAAGAGTGTTTCAAACCTGCTCTACCAAAGGGAATGTTCTGCTCTGTGACTTGAATGCAAACATCCCAAAGAAGTTTCTGAGAATACTTCTGTCTAGATTTTACCTGAAGACAATCCCGTTTCCCACGAAATCCTCAAAGCTATGCAAATATCCTCTTGCAGATTCTACAAAAAGAGTGTTTCAAAACTGCTCTATGAAAAGAAAGGTTCAACTCTGTCAGTAGAGGGCACACATCACAAACAAGTTTCTGAGAATGCTTGTGTCTAGTTGTTATGGGAAGATATTTCCTTTTTCAACATAGGCCTGAAAGCGCTCCAAATGTCCACTTCCAGATACTACAAAAGGAGTGATTCCAACCTGCTCTATGATAGGGAATGTTCAACTCTCTGTCCTGAATACAAACATCACAAAGATGTTTCTCAGAACGCTGCAGTCTGCAATTTGTATGAATTCCCGCTTCCAACGAAATCCTCAAAACTAGCCAAATATCCACTTGCAGATTCCACAAAAAGAGCATTTCAAAACTGCTCTATCAAAAGAAAGGTTCAACTTTGTTAGTTGAGTAGATACAGCATAAACAAGTTTCTGAGAATGCTTCTGTCCAGTTTTTATGGGAAGATATTTCCTTTTTCACCTTAGCCCTGAAAGCGCTCCAAAAGTCCAGTTCCAGATACTACAAAAGGAGTGTTTCAGGACTGCACTATGAAAGGGAGTGTTCAACTTTTGACTTGAATGCAAACATCAGAAAGCAGTTTCTCAGAACGCTGCTGTGTGCTTTTTATATGTATTCCCGCTTCCAGCGAAATCCCCAAAGCTAGCCAAATATCCACTTGCAGATTCCAGAAAAAGAGTGTTTCAAAACTGCTCCTTCAAAACGGTGGTTCAATTCTCTTAGTTGAGTACACACATCTCAAATAAGTTTCTGAGAATGCTTCTGTCTAGTTGTTATGGGAAGATATTTCCTTTTCCAACATAGGCCTGAAAGCGCTCCAAATGTCCACTTCCAGATACTACAAAAGGAGTGATTCAAACCTGCTCTATGATAGGGAATGTTCAACTCTGTGTCCTGAATACAAACATCACAAAGATGTTTCTCAGAACGCTGCAGTCTGCAATTTGTATGAATTCCCGCTTCCAACGAAATCCTCAAAACTAGCCAAATATCCACTTGCAGATTCCACAAAAAGAGCGTTTCAAAACTTCTCTATGAAAAGGAAGGTTCTACTCCTTTAGTTGAGGACACACATCACGAGTAAGTTTCTGAGAATGCTTCTGTCTAGTTTTTATGGGAAGATATTTCCTTTTTCACCTTAGCCCGGAAAGCGCTCCAAATGTCCACTTACACACACTACAAAAAGAGTGTTTCAAACCTGCTCTGTGAAAGGGAATGTTCAATTCTGTGACTTGAATGCAATCATCACAAAGAACTTTCTGAGAATGCTGCTGTCTGCTTTTTATATGTAATCCCGTTTCCAACGAAATCCTCAAATCTAGCCCAATATCCACTTGCAGATTCCACAAAAAGAGTGTTTCAAAACTGTTCTGTATAAAGAAATGTACAACTGTGTTAGTTGAGGACACACATCAGAAACTAGTTTCTGAGAATGCTTCTGTCTAGTTGTTATGGGAAGATATTTCCTTTTCCAACGTAGGCCTGAAAGCGCTCCAAATGTCCACTTCCATATACTAAAAAAAGAGTGTTTCAAACCTGCTCTACCAAAGGGAATGTTCTACTCTGTGACTTGAATGCAAACATCCCAAAGAAGTTTCTGAGAATGCTTCTGTCTAGATTTTATCTGAAGACAGTCCCGTTTCCAACGAAATCCTCAAGGCTAGGCAAATGTACTCTTGCAGATTCCAGAAAAAGAGGGTTTCAAAACTGCTCCTTCAAAACGGTGGTTCAGTTCTCTTAGTTGAGTACACACATCTCAAATAAGTTTCTGAGAATGCTTCTGCCTAGTTGTTACGGGAAGATATTTCCCTTTCCAACATGGGCCTGAAAGCGCTCCAAATGTCCACTTCCAGATACTACAAAAAGAGTGTTTCAAACCTGCTCTACCAAAGGGAATGTTCTACTCTGTGACTTGAATGCAAACATCCCAAAGAAGTTTCTGAGAATGCTTCTGTCTAGATTTTACCTGAAGACAATCCCGTTTCCCACGAAATCCTCAAAGCTATGCAAATATCCTCTTGCGGATTCTACAAAAAGAGTGTTTCAAAACTGCTCTATGAAAAGAAAGGTTCAACTCTGTCAGTAGAGGGCACACATCACAAACAAGTTTCTGAGAATGCTTGTGTCTAGTTGTTATGGGAAGATATTTCCTTTTTCAACATAGGCCTGAAAGCGCTCCAAATGTCCACTTCCAGATACTACAAAAGGAGTGATTCCAACATGCTCTATGATAGGGAATGTTCATCTCTGTGTCCTGAATACAAACATCACAAAGATGTTTCTCAGAACGCTGCAGTCTGCCATTTGGATGAATTCCCGCTTCCAACGAAATCCTCAAAACTAACCAAATAACCACTTGGAGATTCCACAAAAAGAGCGTTTCAAAACTTCTCTATGAATAGAAAGGTTCTACTCCTTTAGTTGAGGACACACATCACGAGTAAGTTTCTGAGAATGCTTCTGTCTAGTTTTTATGGGAAGATATGTCCTTTTTCACCTTAGGCCGGAAAGCACTCCAAATGTCCACTTACACACACTACAAAAAGAGTGTTTCAAACCTGCTCTGTGAAAGGGAATGTTCAATTCTGTGACTTGAATGCAATCATCACAAAGAACTTTCTGAGAATGCTGCTGACTGCTTTTTATATGTAATCCCGTTTCCAACGAAATCCTCAAATCTAGCCCAATATCCACTTGCAGATTCCACAAAAAGAGTGTTTCAAAACTGTTCTGTCTAAAGAAATGTACAACTGTGTTAGTTGAGGACACACATCAGAAACTAGTTTCTGAGAATGCTTCTGTCTAGTTGTTATGGGAAGATATTTCCTTTTCCAACGTAGGCCTGAAAGCGCTCCAAATGTCCACTTCCATATACTAAAAAAAGAGTGTTTCAAACCTGCTCTACCAAAGGGAATGTTCTACTCTGTGACTTGAATGCAAACATCCCAAAGAAGTTTCTGAGAATGCTTCTGTCTAGATTTTATCTGAAGACAATCCCGTTTCCAACGAAATCCTCAAGGCTAGGCAAATATACTCTTACAGATTCCAGAAAAAGAGTGTTTCAAAACTGCTCCTTCAAAACGGTGGTTCAATTCTCTTCGTTGAGTACACACATCTCAAATAAGTTTCTGAGAATGCTTCTGCCTAGTTGTTACGGGAAGATATTTCCCTTTCCAACATGGGCCTGAAAGCGCTCCAAATGTCCACTTCCAGATACTACAAAAAGAGTGTTTCAAACGTGCTCTACCAAAGGGAATGTTCTACTCTGTGACTTGAATGCAAACATCCCAAAGAAGTTTCTGAGAATGCTTCTGTCTAGATTTTACCTGAAGACAATCCCGTTTCCCACGAAATCCTCAAAGCTATGCAAATATCCTCTTGCGGATTCTACAAAAAGAGTGTTTCAAAACTGCTCTATGAAAAGAAAGGTTCAACTCTGTCAGTAGAGGGCACACATCACAAACAAGTTTCTGAGAATGCTTGGGTCTAGTTGTTATGGGAAGATATTTCCTTTTTCAACATAGGCCTGAAAGCGCTCCAAATGTCCACTTCCAGATACTACAAAAGGAGTGATTCCAACCTGCTCTATGATAGGGAATGTTCATCTCTGTGTCCTGAATACAAACATCACAAAGATGTTTCTCAGAACGCTGCAGTCTGCAATTTGTATGAATTCCCGCTTCCAACGAAATCCTCAAAACTAGCCAAATATCCACTTGGAGATTCCACAAAAAGAGCGTTTCAAAACTTCTCTATGAATAGAAAGGTTCTACTCCTTTAGTTGAGGACACACATCACGAGTAAGTTTCTGAGAATGCTTCTGTCTAGTTTTTATGGGAAGATATTTCCTTTTTCACCTTAGGCCGGAAAGCGCTCCAAATGTCCACTTACACACACTACAAAAAGAGTGTTTCAAACCTGCTCTGTGAAAGGGAATGTTCAATTCTGTGACTTGAATGCAATCATCACAAAGAACTTTCTGAGAATGCTGCTGTCTGCTTTTTATATGTAATCCCGTTTCCAACGAAATCCTCAAATCTAGCCAAATATCCACTTGCAGATTCCACAAAAAGAGTGTTTCAAAACTGTTCTGTCTAAAGAAAAGTTCAACTGTGTTAGTTGAGGACACACATCAGAAACTAGTTTCTGAGAATGCTTCTGTCTAGTTGTTACGGGAAGATATTTCCTTTTCCAACGTAGGCCTGAAAGCGCTCCAAATGTCCATTTCCATATACTAAAAAAAGAGTGTTTCAAACCTGCTCTATCAAAGGGAATGTTCTACTCTGTGACTTGAATACAAACATCCCAAAGAAGTTTCTGAGAATGCTTCTGTCTAGATTTTATCTGAAGACAATCCCGTTTCCAACGAAATCCTCAAGGCTAGGCAAATATCGTCTAGCAGATTCCAGAAAAAGAGTGTTTCAAAACTGCTCCTTCAAAACGGTGGTTCAATTCTCTTAGTTGAGTACACACATCTCAAAAAAGTTTCAGAGAATGCTTCTGCCTAGTTGTTACGGGAAGATATTTCCCTTTCCAACATGGGCCTGAAAGTGCTGCAAATGTCCACTTCCAGATACTACAAAAAGAGTGTTTCAAACCTGCTCTACCAAAGGGAATGTTCTACTCTGTGACTTGAATGCAAACATCCCAAAGAAGTTTCTGAGAATGCTTCTGTCTAGATTTTATCTGAAGACAATCCCGTTTCCCACGAAATCCTCAAAGCTATGCAAATATCCTCTTGCAGATTCTACAAAAAGAGTGTTTCGAAAGTGCTCTATGAAAAGAAAGGTTCAACTGTGTCAGTAGAGGGCACACATCACAAACAAGTTTCTGAGAATGCTTGTGTCTAGTTGTTATGGGAAGATATTTCCTTTTTCAACATAGGCCTGAAAGCGCTCCAAATGTCCACTTCCAGATACTACAAAAGGAGTGATTCAAACCTGCTCTATGATAGGGAATGTTCAACTCTGTGTCCTGAATACAAACATCACAAAGATGTTTCTCAGAACGCTGCAGTCTGCAATTTGTATGAATTCCCGCTTCCAACGAAATCCTCAAAACTAGCCAAATATCCACTTGGAGATCCCACAAAAAGAGCGTTTCAAAACTTCTCTATGAATAGAAAGGTTCTACTCCTTTAGTTGAGGACACACATCACGAGTAAGTTTCTGAGAATGCTTCTGTCTAGTTTTTATGGGAAGATATTTCCTTGTTCACCTTAGGCCGGAAAGCGCTCCAAATGTCCACTTACACACACTACAAAAAGAGTGTTTCAAACCTGCTCTGTGAAAGGGAATGTTCAATTCTGTGACTTGAATGCAATCATCACAAAGAAGTTTCTGAGAATGCTGCTGTCTGCTTTTTATATGTAATCCCGTTTCCAACGAAATCCTCAAATCTAGCCAAATATCCACTTGCAGATTCCACAAAAAGAGTGTTTCAAAACTGTTCTGTCTAAAGAAATGTTCAACTGTGTTAGTTGAGGACACACATCAGAAACTAGTTTCTGAGAATGCTGCTGTCTAGTTGTTATGGGAAGATATTTCCTTTTCCAACGTAGGCCTGAAAGCGCTCCAAATGTCCACTTACACACACTACAAAAAGAGTGTTTCAAACCTGCTCTACCAAAGGGAATGTTCTACTTTGTGACTTGAATGCAAACATCCCAAAGAAGTTTCTGAGAATGCTTCTGTCTAGATTTTACCTGAAGACAATGCCGTTTCCCACGAAATCCTCAAAGCTAGGCAAATATCCTCTTGCAGATTCTACAAAAAGAGTGTTTCGAAACTGCTCTATGAAAAGAAAGGATCAACTGTGTCAGTAGAGGGCACACATCACAAACAAGTTTCTGAGAATGCTTCTGCATAGTTGTTACCGGGAAGATATTTCCCTTTCCAAAATAGGCCTGAAAGCGCTCCAAATGTCCACTTCCAGATACTACAAAAGGAGTGATTCCAACCTGCTCTATGATAGGGAATGTTCAACTCTGTGTCCTGAATACAAACATCACAAAGATGTTTCTCAGAACGCTGCAGTCTGCAATTTGTATGAATTCCCGCTTCCAACGAAATCCTCAAAACTAGCCAAATATCCACTTGCAGATTCCACAAAAAGACCATTTCAAAACTGCTCTATCAAAAGAAAGGTTCAACTTTGTTAGTTGAGTAGATACAGCATAACCAAGTTTCTGAGAATGCTTCTGTCCAGTTTTTATGGGAAGATATTTCCTTTTTCACCTTAGCCCTGAAATCGCTCCAAAAGTCCAGTTCCAGATACTACAAAAGGGGTGTTTCAAGACTGCTCTATGAAAGGGAGTGTTCAACTTTTGACTTGAATGCAAACATCAGAAAGCAGTTTCTCAGAACGCTGCTGTGTGCTTTTTATATGTATTCCCGCTTCCAGCGAAATCCCCAAAGCTAGCCAAATATCCACTTGCAGATTCCAGAAAAAGAGAGTTTCAAAACTGCTCCTTCAAAACGGTGGTTCAATTCTCTTAGTTGAGTACACACATCTCAAATAAGTTTACTGAGAATGCTTTCTGCCTAGTTGTTATGGGAAGATATTTCCTTTTTCAACATAGGCCTGAAAGCGCTCCAAATGTCCACTTCCAGATAGTACAAAAGGAGTGATTCCAACCTGCTCTATGATAGGGAATGTTCAACTCTGTGTCCTGAATACAAACATCACAAAGATGTTTCTCAGAACGCTGCAGTCTGCAATTTGTATGAATTCCCGCTTCCAACGAAATCCTCAAACCTAGCCAAATATCCACTTGCAGATTCCACAAAAAGAGCATTTCAAAACTGCTCTATCAAAAGAAAGGTTCAACTTTGTTAGTTGAGTAGATACAGCATAAACAAGTTTCTGAGAATGCTTCTGTCCAGTTTTTATGGGAAGATATTTCCTTTTTCACCTTAGCCCTGAAAGCGCTCCAAATGTCCAGTTCCAGATACTACAAAAGGGGTATTTCAAGACTGCTCTATGAAAAGGAGTGTTCAACTTTTGACTTGAATGCAAACATCAGAAAGCAGTTTCTCAGAACGCTGCTGTGTGCTTTTTATATGTATTCCCACTTCCAGCGAAATCCCCAAAGCTAGCCAAATATCCACTTGCAGATTCCAGAAAAAGAGTGTTTCAAAACTGCTCCTTCAAAACGGTGGTTCAATTCTCTTAGTTGAGTACACACATCTCAAATAAGTTTCTGAGAATGCTTCTGTCCAGTTTTTATGGGAAGATATTTCCTTTTTCACCTTAGCCCTGAAAGCGCTCCAAATGTCCAGTTCCAGATACTACAAAAGGGGTGTTTCAAGACTGCTCTATGAAAGGGAGTGTTCAACTTTTGTCTTGAATGCAAACATCAGAAAGCAGTTTCTCAGAACGCTGCAGTCTGCAATTTGTATGAATTCCCGCTTCCAACGAAATCCTCAAAACTAGCCAAATATCCACTTGCAGATTCCACAAAAAGAGCATTTCAAAACTGCTCTATCAAAAGAAAGGTTCAAATTTGTTAGTTGAGTAGATACAGCATAAACAAGTTTCTGAGAATGCTTCTGTCCAGTTTTTATGGGAAGATATTTCCTTTTTCACCTTAGCCCTGAAAGCGCTCCAAAAGTCCAGTTCCAGATACTACAAAAGGAGTGTTTCAGGACTGCTCTATGAAAGGGAGTGTTCAACTTTTGACTTGAATGCAAACATCAGAAAGCAGTTTCTCAGAACGCTGCTGTGTGCTTTTTATATGTATTCCCGCCTCCAGCGAAGTCCCCAAAGCTAGCCAAATATCCACTTGCAGATTCCAGAAAAAGAGTGTTTCAAAACTGCTCCTTCAAAACGGTGGTTCAATTCTCTTAGTTGAGTACACACATCTCAAATAAGTTTCTGAGAATGCTTCTGTCTAGTTGTTATGGGAAGATATTTCCTTTTCCAACATAGGCCTGAAAGCGCTCCAAATGTCCACTTCCAGATACTACAAAAGGAGTGATTCCAACCTGCTCTATGATAGGGAATGTTCAACTCTGTGTCCTGAATACAAACATCACAAAGATGTTTCTCAGAACGCTGCAGTCTGCAATTTGTATGAATTCCCGCTTCCAACGAAATCCTCCAAACTAGCCAAATATCCACTTGCAGATTCCACAAAAAGAGCGTTTCAAAACTTCTCTATGAAAAGAAAGGTTCTACTCCTTTAGTTGAGGACACACATCACGAGTAAGTTTCTGAGAATGCTTCTGTCTAGTTTTTATGGGAAGATATTTCCTTTTTCACCTTAGGCCGGAAAGTGCTCCAAATGTCCACTTACACACACTACAAAAAGAGTGTTTCAAACCTGCTCTGTGAAAGGGAATGTTCAATTCTGTGACTTGAATGCAATCATCACAAAGAACTTTCTGAGAATGCTGCTGTCTGCTTTTTATATGTAATCCCGTTTCCAACGAAATCCTCAAATCTAGCCAAATAGCCACTTGCAGATTCCACAAAAAGAGTGTTTCAAAACTGTTCTGTCTAAAGAAATGTTCAACTGTGTTAGTTGAGGACACACATCAGAAACTAGTTTCTGAGAATGCTTCTGTCTAGTTGTTATGGGAAGATATTTCCTTTTCCAACGTAGGCCTGAAAGCGCTCCAAATGTCCACTTCCATATACTAAAAAAAGAGTGTTTCAAACCTGCTCTACCAAAGGGAATGTTCTACTCTGTGACTTGAATGCAAACATCCCAAAGAAGTTTCTGAGAATGCTTCTGTCTAGATTTTATCTGAAGACAATCCCGTTTCCAACGAAATCCTCAAGGCTAGGCAAATATACTCTTGCAGATTCCAGAAAAAGAGTGTTTCAAAACTGCTCCTTCAAAACGGTGGTTCAATTCTCTTAGTTGAGTACACACATCTCAAAAAAGTTTCTGAGAATGCTTCTGCCTAGTTGTTACGGGAAGATATTTCCCTTTCCAACATGGGCCTGAAAGCGCTCCAAATGTCCACTTCCAGATACTACAAAAAGAGTGTTTCAAACCTGCTCTACCAAAGGGAATGTTCTACTCTGTGACTTGAATGCAAACATCCCAAAGAAGTTTCTGAGAATGCTTCTGTCTAGATTTTACCTGAAGACAATCCCGTTTCCCACGAAATCCTCAAAGCTATGCAAATATCCTCTTGCGGATTCTACAAAAAGAGTGTTTCAAAACTGCTCTATGAAAAGAAAGGTTCAACTCTGTCAGTAGAGGGCACACATCACAAACAACTTTCTGAGAATGCTTGTGTCTAGTTGTTATGGGAAGATATTTCCTTTTTCAACATAGGCCTGAAAGCGCTCCAAATGTCCACTTCCAGATACTACAAAAGGAGTGATTCCAACCTGCTCTATGATAGGGAATGTTCATCTCTGTGTCCTGAATACAAACATCACAAAGATGTTTCTCAGAACGCTGCAGTCTGCAATTTGTATGAATTCCCGCTTCCAACGAAATCCTCAAAACTAGCCAAATATCCACTTGGAGATTCCACAAAAAGAGCGTTTCAAAACTTCTCTATGAATAGAAAGGTTCTACTCCTTTAGTTGAGGACACACATCACGAGTAAGTTTCTGAGAATGCTTCTGTCTAGTTTTTATGGGAAGATATTTCCTTTTTCACCTTAGGCCGGAAAGCGCTCCAAATGTCCACTTACACACACTACAAAAAGAGTGTTTCAAACCTGCTCTGTGAAAGGGAATGTTCAATTCTGTGACTTGAATGCAATCATCACAAAGAACTTTCTGAGAATGCTGCTGTCTGCTTTTTATATGTAATCCCGTTTCCAACGAAATCCTCAAATCTAGCCCAATATCCACTTGCAGATTCCACAAAAAGAGTGTTTCAAAACTGTTCTGTCTAAAGAAAAGTTCAACTGTGTTAGTTGAGGACACACATCAGAAACTAGTTTCTGAGAATGCTTCTGTCTAGTTGTTATGGGAAGATATTTCCTTTTCCAACGTAGGCCTGAAAGCGCTCCAAATGTCCACTTCCATATACTAAAAAAAGAGTGTTTCAAACCTGCTCTACCAAAGGGAATGTTCTACTCTGTGACTTGAATGCAAACATCCCAAAGAAGTTTCTGAGAATGCTTCTGTCTAGATTTTCTCTGAAGACAATCCCGTTTCCAACGAAATCCTCAAGGCTAGGCAAATATACTCTTGCAGATTCCAGAAAAAGAGTGTTTCAAAACTGCTCCTTCAAAACGGTGGTTCAATTCTCTTAGTTGAGTACACACATCTCAAATAAGTTTCTGAGAATGCTTCTGCCTAGTTGTTACGGGAAGATATTTCCCTTTCCAACATAGGCCTGAAAGCGCTCCAAATGTCCACTTCCAGATACTACAAAAAGAGTGTTTCAAACCTGCTCTACCAAAGGGAATGTTCTACTCTGTGACTTGAATGCAAACATCCCAAAGAAGTTTCTGAGAATGCTTCTTTCTAGATTTTACCTGAAGACAATCCCGTTTCCCACGAAATCCTCAAAGCTATGCAAATATCCTCTTGCGGATTCTACAAAAAGAGTGTTTCAAAACTGCTCTATGAAAAGAAAGGTTCAACTCTGTCAGTAGAGGGCACACATCACAAACAAGTTTCTGAGAATGCTTGTGTCTAGTTGTTATGGGAAGATATTTCCTTTTTCAACATAGGCCTGAAAGCGCTCCAAATGTCCACTTCCAGATACTACAAAAGGAGTGATTCCAACCTGCTCTATGATAGGGAATGTTCAACTCTCTGTCCTGAATACAAACATCACAAAGATGTTTCTCAGAACGCTGCAGTCTGCAATTTGTATGAATTCCCGCTTCCAACGAAATCCTCAAAACTAGCCAAATATCCACTTGCAGATTCCACAAAAAGAGCATTTCAAAACTGCTCTATCAAAAGAAAGGTTCAACTTTGTTAGTTGAGTAGATACAGCATAAAAAAGTTTCTGAGAATGCTTCTGTCCAGTTTTTATGGGAAGATATTTCCTTTTTCACCTTAGCCCTGAAAGCGCTCCAAAAGTCCAGTTCCAGATACTACAAAAGGAGTGTTTCAGGACTGCTCTATGAAAGGGAGTGTTCAACTTTTGACTTGAATGCAAACATCAGAAAGCAGTTTCTCAGAACGCTGCTGTGTGCTTTTTATATGTATTCCCGCCTCCAGCGAAATCCCCAAAGCTAGCCAAATATCCACTTGCAGATTCCAGAAAAAGAGTGTTTCAAAACTGCTCCTTCAAAACGGTGGTTCAATTCTCTTAGTTGAGTACACACATCTCAAATAAGTTTCTGAGAATGCTGCAGTCTGCAATTTGTATGAATTCCCGCTTCCAACGAAATCCTCAAAACTAGCCAAATATCCACTTGCAGATTCCACAAAAAGAGCATTTCAAAACTGCTCTATCAAAAGAAAGGTTCAACTTTGTTAGTTGAGTAGATACAGCATAAACAAGTTTAGGAGAATGCTGCAGTCTGCAATTTGTATGAATTCCCGCTTCCAACGGAAATCCTCAAAACTACCCAAATATCCACTTGGAGATTCCACAAAAAGAGCGTTTCAAAACTTCTCTATGAATAGAAAGGTTCTACTCCTTTAGTTGAGGGCACACATCACGAGTAAGTTTCTGAGAATGCTTCTGTCTAGTTTTTATGGGAAGATATTTCCTTTTTCACCTTAGGCCGGAAAGTGTTCCAAATGTCCACTTACACACACTATAAAAAGAGTGTTTCAAACCTGCTCTGTGAAAGGGAATGTTCAATTCTGTGACTTGAATGCAATCATCACAAAGAACTTTCTGAGAATGCTGCTGTCTGCTTTTTATATGTAATCCCGTTTCCAACGAAATCCTCAAATCTAGCCAAATAGCCACTTGCAGATTCCACAAAAAGAGAGTTTCAAAACTGTTCTGTCTAAAGAAATGTTCAACTGTGTTAGTTGAGGACACACATCAGAAACTAGTTTCTGAGAATGCTTCTGTCTAGTTGTTATGGGAAGATATTTCCTTTTCCAACGTAGGCCTGAAAGCACTCCAAATGTCCACTTCCATATACTAAAAAAAGAGTGTTTCAAACCTGCTCTACCAAAGGGAATGTTCTACTCTGTGACTTGAATGCAAACATCCCAAAGAAGTTTCTGAGAATGCTTCTGTCTAGATTTGATCTGAAGACAATCCCGTTTCCAACGAAATCCTCAAGGGTAGGCAAATATCCTCTTGCAGATTCCAGAAAAAGAGTGTTTCAAAACTGCTCCTTCAAAACGGTGGTTCAATTCTCTTAGTTGAGTACACACATCTCAAATAAGTTTCTGAGAATGCTTCTGCCTAGTTGTTACGGGAAGATATTTCCCTTTCCAACATAGGCCTGAAAGCGCTCCAAATGTCCACTTCCAGATACTACAAAAAGAGTGTTTCAAACCTGCTCTACCAAAGGGAATGTTCTACTCTGTGACTTGAATGCAAACATCCCAAAGAAGTTTCTGAGAATGCTTCTGTCTAGATTTTACCTGAAGACAATCCCGTTTCCCACGAAATCCTCAAAGCTATGCAAATATCCTCTTGCAGATTCTACAAAAAGAGTGTTTCAAAACTGCTCTATGAAAAGAAAGGTTCAACTCTGTCAGTAGAGGGCACACATCACAAACAAGTTTCTGAGAATGCTTCTGCATAGTTGTTACGGGAAGATATTTCCCTTTCCAAAATAGGCCTGAAAGCGCTCCAAATGTCCACTTCCAGATACTACAAAAGGAGTGATTCCAACCTGCTCTATGATAGGGAATGTTCAACTCTGTGTCCTGAATACAAACATCACAAAGATGTTTCTCAGAACGCTGCAGTCTGCAATTTGTATGAATTCCCGCTTCCAACGAAATCCTCAAAACTAACCAAATATCCACTTGGAGATTCCACAAAAAGAGCGTTTCAAAACTTCTCTATGAATAGAAAGGTTCTACTCCTTTAGTTGAGGACACACATCACGAGTAAGTTTCTGAGAATGCTTCTGTCTAGTTTTTATGGGAAGATATGTCCTTTTTCACCTTAGGCCGGAAAGCGCTCCAAATGTCCACTTACACACACTACAAAAAGAGTGTTTCAAACCTGCTCTGTGAAAGGGAATGTTCAATTCTGTGACTTGAATGCAATCATCACAAAGAACTTTCTGAGAATGCTGCTGACTGCTTTTTATATGTAATCCCGTTTCCAACGAAATCCTCAAATCTAGCCCAATATCCACTTGCAGATTCCACAAAAAGAGTGTTTCAAAACTGTTCTGTCTAAGGAAATGTACAACTGTGTTAGTTGAGGACACACATCAGAAACTAGTTTCTGAGAATGCTTCTGTCTAGTTGTTATGGGAAGATATTTCCTTTTCCAACGTAGGCCTGAAAGCGCTCCAAATGTCCACTTCCATATACTAAAAAAAGAGTGTTTCAAACCTGCTCTACCAAAGGGAATGTTCTACTCTGTGACTTGAATGCAAACATCCCAAAGAAGTTTCTGAGAATGCTTCTGTCTAGATTTTATCTGAAGACAATCCCGTTTCCAACGAAATCCTCAAGGCTAGGCAAATATACTCTTGCAGATTCCAGAAAAAGAGTGTTTCAAAACTGCTCCTTCAAAACGGTGGTTCAATTCTCTTAGTTGAGTACACACATCTCAAATAAGTTTCTGAGAATGCTTCTGCCTAGTTGTTACTGGAAGATATTTCCCTTTCCAACATAGGCCTGAAAGCGCTCCAAATGTCCACTTCCAGATACTACAAAAAGAGTGTTGCAAACCTGCTCTACCAAAGGGAATGTTCTACTCTGTGACTTGAATGCAAACATCCCAAAGAAGTTTCTGAGAATGCTTCTGTCTAGATTTTACCTGAAGACAATCCCGTTTCCCACGAAATCCTCAAAGCTATGCAAATATCCTCTTGCAGATTCTACAAAAAGAGTGTTTCAAAACTGCTCTATGAAAAGAAAGGTTCAACTCTGTCAGTAGAGGGCACACATCACAAACAAGTTTCTGAGAATGCTTGTGTCTAGTTGTTATGGGAAGATATTTCCTTTTTCAACATAGGCCTGAAAGCGCTCCAAATGTCCACTTCCAGATACTACAAAAGGAGTGATTCCAACCTGCTCTATGATAGGGAATGTTCAACTCTGTGTCCTGAATACAAACATCACAAAGATGTTTCTCAGAACGCTCAGTCTGCAATTTGTATGAATTCCAGCTTCCAACGAAATCCTCAAAACTAGCCAAATATCCACTTGCAGATTCCACAAAAAGAGCATTTCAAAACTGCTCTATCAAAAGAAAGGTTCAACTTTGTTAGTTGAGTAGATACAGCATAAACAAGTTTCTGAGAATGCTTTCTGTCCAGTTTTTATGGGAAGATATTTCCTTTTTCACCTTAGCCCTGAAATCGCTCCAAAAGTCCAGTTCCAGATACTACAAAAGGGGTGTTTCAAGACTGCTCTATGAAAGGGAGTGTTCAACTTTTGACTTGAATGCAAACATCAGAAAGCAGTTTCTCAGAACGCTGCTGTGTGCTTTTTATATGTATTCCCGCTTCCAGCGAAATCCCCAAAGCTAGCCAAATATCCACTTGCAGATTCCAGAAAAAGAGAGTTTCAAAACTGCTCCTTCAAAACGGTGGTTCAATTCTCTTAGTTGAGTACACACATCTCAAATAAGTTTCTGAGAATGCTTCTGTCTAGTTGTTATGGGAAGATATTTCCTTTTCCAACATAGGCCTGAAAGCGCTCCAAATGTCCACTTCCAGATACTACAAAAGGAGTGATTCCAACCTGCTCTATGATAGGGAATGTTCAACTCTGTGTCCTGAATACAAACATCACAAAGATGTTTCTCAGAACGCTGCAGTCTGCAATTTGTATGAATTCCCGCTTCCAACGAAATCCTCAAAACTAGCCAAATATCCACTTGCAGATTCCACAAAAAGAGCGTTTCAAAACTTCTCTATGAAAAGAAAGGTTCTACTCCTTTAGTTGAGGACACACATCACGAGTAAGTTTCTGAGAATGCTTCTATTAGTTTTTATGGGAAGATATTTCCTTTTTCACCTTAGGCCGGTAAGTGCTCCAAATGTCCACTTACACACACTACAAAAAGAGTGTTTCAAACCTGCTCTGTGAAAGGGAATGTTCAATTCTGTGACTTGAATGCAATCATCACAAAGAACTTTCTGAGAATGCTGCTGACTGCTTTTTATATGTAATCCCGTTTCCAACGAAATCCTCAAATCTAGCCAAATAGCCACTTGCAGATTCCACAAAAAGAGTGTTTCAAAACTGTTCTGTCTAAAGAAATGTTCAACTGTGTTAGTTGAGGACACACATCAGAAACTAGTTTCTGAGAATGCTTCTGTCTAGTTGTTATGGGAAGATATTTCCTTTTCCAACGTAGGCCTGAAAGCGCTCCAAATGTCCACTTCCAGATACTACAAAAAGAGTGTTTCAAACCTGCTCTACCAAAGGGAATGTTCTACTCTGTGACTTGAATGCAAACATCCCAAAGAAGTTTCTGAGAATGCTTCTGTCTAGATTTTCTCTGAAGACAATCCCGTTTCCAACGAAATCCTCAAGGCTAGGCAAATATACTCTTGCAGATTCCAGAAAAAGAGTGTTTCAAAACTGCTCCTTCAAAACGGTGGTTCAATTCTCTTAGTTGAGTACACACATCTCAAATAAGTTTCTGAGAATGCTTCTGCCTAGTTGTTACGGGAAGATATTTCCCTTTCCAACATGGGCCTGAAAGCGCTCCAAATGTCCACTTCCAGATACTACAAAAAGAGTGTTTCAAACCTGCTCTACCAAAGGGAATGTTCTACTCTGTGACTTGAATGCAAACATCCCAAAGAAGTTTCTGAGAATGCTTCTGTCTAGATTTTACCTGAAGACAATCCCGTTTCCCACGAAATCCTCAAAGCTATGCAAATATCCTCTTGCAGATTCTACAAAAAGAGTGTTTCAAAACTGCTCTATGAAAAGAAAGGTTCAACTCTGTCAGTAGAGGGCACACATCACAAACAAGTTTCTGAGAATGCTTCTGCATAGTTGTTACGGGAAGATATTTCCCTTTCCAAAATAGGCCTGAAAGCGCTCCAAATGTCCACTTCCAGATACTACAAAAGGAGTGATTCCAACCTGCTCTATGATAGGGAATGTTCAACTCTGTGTCCTGAATACAAACATCACAAAGATGTTTCTCAGAACGCTGCAGTCTGCAATTTGTATGAATTCCCGCTTCCAACGAAATCCTCAAAACTAGCCAAATATCCACTTGCAGATTCCACAAAAAGACCATTTCAAAACTGCTCTATCAAAAGAAAGGTTCAACTTTGTTAGTTGAGTAGATACAGCATAAACAAGTTTCTGAGAATGCTTCTGTCCAGTTTTTATGGGAAGATATTTCCTTTTTCACCTTAGCCCTGAAATCGCTCCAAAAGTCCAGTTCCAGATACTACAAAAGGGGTGTTTCAAGACTGCTCTATGAAAGGGAGTGTTCAACTTTTGACTTGAATGCAAACATCAGAAAGCAGTTTCTCAGAACGCTGCTGTGTGCTTTTTATATGTATTCCCGCTTCCAGCGAAATCCCCAAAGCTAGCCAAATATCCACTTGCAGATTCCAGAAAAAGAGAGTTTCAAAACTGCTCCTTCAAAACGGTGGTTCAATTCTCTTAGTTGAGTACACACATCTCAAATAAGTTTCTGAGAATGCTTCTGTCTAGTTGTTATGGGAAGATATTTCCTTTTCCAACATAGGCCTGAAAGCGCTCCAAATGTCCACTTCCAGATACTACAAAAGGAGTGATTCCAACCTGCTCTATGATAGGGAATGTTCAACTCTGTGTCCTGAATACAAACATCACAAAGATGTTTCTCAGAACGCTGCAGTCTGCAATTTGTATGAATTCCCGCTTCCAACGAAATCCTCAAAACTAGCCAAATATCCACTTGCAGATTCCACAAAAAGAGCGTTTCAAAACTTCTCTATGAAAAGAAAGGTTCTACTCCTTTAGTTGAGGACACACATCACGAGTAAGTTTCTGAGAATGCTTCTGTCTAGTTTTTATGGGAAGATATTTCCTTGTTCACCTTAGGCCGGAAAGCGCTCCAAATGTCCACTTACACACACTACAAAAAGAGTGTTTCAAACCTGCTCTGTGAAAGGGAATGTTCAATTCTGTGACTTGAATGCAATCATCACAAAGAAGTTTCTGAGAATGCTGCTGTCTGCTTTTTATATGTAATCCCGTTTCCAACGAAATCCTCAAATCTAGCCAAATATCCACTTGCAGATTCCACAAAGAGAGTGTTTCAAAACTGTTCTGTCTAAAGAAATGTTCAACTGTGTTAGTTGAGGACACACATCAGAAACTAGTTTCTGAGAATGCTTCTGTCTATTTGTTATGGGAAGATATTTCCTTTTCCAACGTAGGCCTGAAAGCGCTCCAAATGTCCACTTCCATATACTAAAAAAAGAGTGTTTCAAACCTGCTCTACCAAAGGGAATGTTCTACTCTGTGACTTGAATGCAAACATCCCAAAGAAGTTTCTGAGAATGCTTCTGTCTAGATTTCAACTGAAGACAATCCCGTTTCCAACGAAATCCTCAAATCTATGCAAATATCCTCTTGCAGATTCCAGAAAAAGAGTGTTTCAAAACTGCTCCTTCAAAACGGTGGTTCAATTCTCTTAGTTGAGTACACACATCTCAAATAAGTTTCTGAGAATGCTTCTGCCTAGTTGTTACGGGAAGATATTTCCCTTTCCAACATAGGCCTGAAAGCGCTCCAAATGTCCACTTCCAGATACTACAAAAAGAGTGTTTCAAACGTGCTCTAACAAAGGGAATGTTCTACTCTGTGACTTGAATGCAAACATCCCGAAGAACTTTCTGAGAATGCTTCTGTCTAGATTTTACCTGAAGACAATCTCGTTTCCCACGAAATCCTCAAAGCTATGCAAATATCCTCTTGCAGATTCTACAAAAAGAGTGTTTCGAAACTGCTCTATGAAAAGAAAGGTTCAACTCTGTCAGTAGAGGGCACACATCACAAACAAGTTTCTGAGAATGCTTGTGTCTAGTTGTTATGGGAAGATATTTCCTTTTTCAACATAGGCCTGAAAGCGCTCCAAATGTCCACTTCCAGATACTACAAAAGGAGTGATTCCAACCTGCTCTATGATAGGGAATGTTCAACTCTGTGTCCTGAATACAAACATCACAAAGATGTTTCTCAGAACGCTGCAGTCTGCAATTTGTATGAATTCCCGCTTCCAACGAATTCCTCAAAACTAACCAAATATCCACTTGCAGACTCCACAAAAAGAGCATTTCAAAACTGCTCTATCAAAAGAAAGGTTCAACTTTGTTAGCTGAGTAGATACAGCATAAACAAGTTTCTGAGAATGCTTCTGTCCAGTTTTTATGGGAAGATATTTCCTTTTTCACCTTAGCCCTGAAAGCACTCCAAATGTCCACTTCCAGATACCACAAAAGGGGAGTTTCAAGACTGCTCTATGAAAGGGAGTGTTCAACTTTTGACTTGAATGCGAACATCAGAAAGAAGTTTCTCAGAACGCTGCTGTGTGCTTTTTATATGTATTCCCGCTTCCAGCGAAATCCCCAAAGCTAGCCAGATATCCACTGGCAGATTCCAGAAAAAGAGTGTTTCAAAACTGCTCCTTCAAAACGGTGGTTCAATTCTCTTAGTTGAGTACACACATCTCAAATAAGTTTCTGAGAATGCTTCTGTCTATTTGTTATGGGAAGATATTTCCTTTTCCAACATAGGCCTGAAAGCGCTCCAAATGTCCACTTCCAGATACTAGAAAAGGAGTGATTCAAACCTGCTCTATGATAGGGAATGTTCAACTCTGTGTCCTGAATACAAACATCACAAAGATGTTTCTCAGAACGCTGCAGTCTGCAATTTGTATGAATTCCCGCTTCCAACGAAATCCTCAAAACTAGCCAAATATCCACTTGCAGATTCCACAAAAAGAGCGTTTCAAAACTTCTCTATGAAAAGAAAGGTTCTACTCCTTTAGTTGAGGACACACATCACGAGTAAGTTTCTGAGAATACTTCTGTCTAGTTTTTATGGGAAGATATTTCCTTTTTCACCTTAGGCCGGAAAGTGCTCCAAATGTCCACTTACACACACTACAAAAAGAGTGTTTCAAACCTGCTCTGTGAAAGGGAATGTTCAATTCTGTGACTTGAATGCAATCATCACAAAGAACTTTCTGAGAATGCTGCTGTCTGCTTTTTATATGTAATCCCGTTTCCAACGAAATCCTCAAATCTAGCCAAATAGCCACTTGCAGATTCCACAAAAAGAGTGTTTCAAAACTGTTCTGTCTAAAGAAATGTTCAACTGTGTTAGTTGAGGACACACATCAGAAACTAGTTTCTGAGAATGCTTCTGTCTAGTTGTTATGGGAAGATATTTCCTTTTCCAACGTAGGCCTGAAAGCGCTCCAAATGTCCACTTCCATATACTAAAAAAAGAGTGTTTCAAACCTGCTCTACCAAAGGGAATGTTCTACTCTGTGACTTGAATGCAAACATCCCAAAGAAGTTTCTGAGAATGCTTCTGTCTAGATTTGATCTGAAGACAATCCCGTTTCCAACGAAATCATCAAGGCTAGGCAAATATCCTCTTGCAGATTCCAGAAAAAGAGTGTTTCAAAACTGCTCCTTCAAAACGGTGGTTCAATTCTCTTACTTGAGTACACACATCTCAAATAAGTTTCTGAGAATGCTTCTGCCTAGTTGTTACGGGAAGATATTTCCCTTTCCAACATAGGCCTGAAAGCGCTCCAAATGTCCACTTCCAGATACTACAAAAAGAGTGTTTCAAACCTGCTCTACCAAAGGGAATGTTCTACTCTGTGACTTGAATGCAAACATCCCAAAGAAGTTTCTGAGAATGCTTCTGTCTAGATTTTACCTGAAGACAATCCCGTTTCCCACGAAATCCTCAAAGCTATGCTAATATCCTCTTGCAGATTCTACAAAAAGAGTGTTTCAAAACTGCTCTATGAAAAGAAAGGTTCAACTCTGTCAGTAGAGGGCACACATCACAAACAAGTTTCTGAGAATGCTTGTGTCTAGTTGTTATGGGAAGATATTTCCTTTTTCAACATAGGCCTGAAAGCGCTCCAAATGTCCACTTCCAGATACTACAAAAGGAGTGATTCCAACCTGCTCTATGATAGGGAATGTTCAACTCTCTGTCCTGAATACAAACATCACAAAGATGTTTCTCAGAACGCTGCAGTCTGCAATTTGTATGAATTCCCGCTTCCAGCGAAATCCTCAAAACTAGCCAAATATCCCCTTGCAGATTCCACAAAAAGAGCATTTCAAAACTGCTCTATCAAAAGAAAGGTTCAACTTTGTTAGTTGAGTAGATACAGCATAAACAAGTTTCTGAGAATGCTTCTGTCCAGTTTTTATGGGAAGATATTTCCTTTTTCACCTTAGCCCTGAAAGCGCTCCAAAAGTCCAGTTCCAGATACTACAAAAGGAGTGTTTCAGGACTGCACTATGAAAGGGAGTGTTCAACTTTTGACTTGAATGCAAACATCAGAAAGCAGTTTCTCAGAACGCTGCTGTGTGCTTTTTATATGTATTCCCGCTTCCAGCGAAATCCCCAAAGCTAGCCAAATATCCACTTGCAGATTCCAGAAAAAGAGTGTTTCAAAACTGCTCCTTCAAAACGGTGGTTCAATTCTCTTAGTTGAGTACACACATCTCAAATAAGTTTCTGAGAATGCTTCTGTCTAGTTGTTATGGGAAGATATTTCCTTTTCCAACATAGGCCTGAAAGCGCTCCAAATGTCCACTTCCAGATACTACAAAAGGAGTGATTCCAACCTGCTCTATGATAGGGAATGTTCAACTCTGTGTCCTGAATACAAACATCACAAAGATGTTTCTCAGAACGCTGCAGTCTGCAATTTGTATGAATTCCCGCTTCCAACGAAATCCTCAAAACTAGCCAAATATCCACTTGCAGATTCCACAAAAAGAGCGTTTCAAAACTTCTCTATGAAAAGAAAGGTTCTACTCCTTTAGTTGAGGACACACATCACGAGTAAGTTTCTGAGAATGCTTCTGTCTAGTTTTTATGGGAAGATATTTCCTTTTTCACCTTAGGCCGGTAAGTGCTCCAAATGTCCACTTACACACACTACAAAAAGAGTGTTTCAAACCTGCTCTGTGAAAGGGAATGTTCAATTCTGTGACTTGAATGCAATCATCACAAAGAACTTTCTGAGAATGCTGCTGACTGCTTTTTATATGTAATCCCGTTTCCAACGAAATCCTCAAATCTAGCCAAATAGCCACTTGCAGATTCCACAAAAAGAGTGTTTCAAAACTGTTCTGTCTAAAGAAATGTTCAACTGTGTTAGTTGAGGACACACATCAGAAACTAGTTTCTGAGAATGCTTCTGTCTAGTTGTTATGGGAAGATATTTCCTTTTCCAACGTAGGCCTGAAAGCGCTCCAAATGTCCACTTCCAGATACTACAAAAAGAGTGTTTCAAACCTGCTCTACCAAAGGGAATGTTCTACTCTGTGACTTGAATGCAAACATCCCAAAGAAGTTTCTGAGAATACTTCTGTCTAGATTTGATCTGAAGACAATCCCGTTTCCAACGAAATCCTCAAGGCTAGGCAAATATACTCTTGCAGATTCCAGAAAAAGAGTGTTTCAAAACTGCTCCTTCAAAACGGTGGTTCATTTCTCTTAGTTGAGTACACACATCTCAAATAAGTTTCTGAGAATGCTTCTGCCTAGTTGTTACGGGAAGATATTTCCCTTTCCAACATGGGCCTGAAAGCGCTCCAAATGTCCACTTCCAGATACTACAAAAAGAGTGTTTCAAACCTGCTCTACCAAAGGGAATGTTCTACTCTGTGACTTGAATGCAAACATCCCAAAGAAGTTTCTGAGAATGCTTCTGTCTAGATTTTACCTGAAGACAATCCCGTTTCCCACGAAATCCTCAAAGCTATGCAAATATCCTCTTGCAGATTCTACAAAAAGAGTGTTTCAAAACTGCTCTATGAAAAGAAAGGTTCAACTCTGTCAGTAGAGGGCACACATCACAAACAAGTTTCTGAGAATGCTTCTGCATAGTTGTTACGGGAAGATATTTCCCTTTCCAAAATAGGCCTGAAAGCGCTCCAAATGTCCACTTCCAGATACTACAAAAGGAGTGATTCCAACCTGCTCTATGATAGGGAATGTTCAACTCTGTGTCCTGAATACAAACATCACAAAGATGTTTCTCAGAACGCTGCAGTCTGCAATTTGTATGAATTCCCGCTTCCAACGAAATCCTCAAAACTAGCCAAATATCCACTTGCAGATTCCACAAAAAGACCATTTCAAAACTGCTCTATCAAAAGAAAGGTTCAACTTTGTTAGTTGAGTAGATACAGCATAACCAAGTTTCTGAGAATGCTTCTGTCCAGTTTTTATGGGAAGATATTTCCTTTTTCACCTTAGCCCTGAAATCGCTCCAAAAGTCCAGTTCCAGATACTACAAAAGGGGTGTTTCAAGACTGCTCTATGAAAGGGAGTGTTCAACTTTTGACTTGAATGCAAACATCAGAAAGCAGTTTCTCAGAACGCTGCTGTGTGCTTTTTATATGTATTCCCGCTTCCAGCGAAATCCCCAAAGCTAGCCAAATATCCACTTGCAGATTCCAGAAAAAGAGTGTTTCAAAACTGCTCCTTCAAAACGGTGGTTCAATTCTCTTAGTTGAGTACACACATCTCAAATAAGTTTCTGAGAATGCTTGTGTCTAGTTGTTATGGGAAGATATTTCCTTTTTCAACATAGGCCTGAAAGCGCTCCAAATGTCCACTTCCAGATACTACAAAAGGAGTGATTCCAACCTGCTCTATGATAGGGAATGTTCAACTCTCTGTCCTGAATACAAACACCACAAAGATGTTTCTCAGAACGCTGCAGTCTGCAATTTGTATGAATTCCCGCTTCCAACGAAATCCTCAAAACTAGCCAAATATCCACTTGCAGATTCCACAAAAAGAGCATTTCAAAACTGCTCTATCAAAAGAAAGGTTCAAATTTGTTAGTTGAGTAGATACAGCATAAACAAGTTTCTGAGAATGCTTCTGTCCAGTTTTTATGGGAAGATATTTCCTTTTTCACCTTAGCCCTGAAAGCGCTCCAAAAGTCCAGTTCCAGATACTACAAAAGGAGTGTTTCAGGACTGCTCTATGAAAGGGAGTGTTCAACTTTTGACTTGAATGCAAACATCAGAAAGCAGTTTCTCAGAACGCCGCTGTGTGCTTTTTATATGTATTCCCGCTTCCAGCGAAATCCCCAAAGCTAGCCAAATATCCACTTGCAGATTCCAGAAAAAGAGTGTTTCAAAACTGCTCCTTCAAAACGGTGGTTCAATTCTCTTAGTTGAGTACACACATCTCAAATAAGTTTCTGAGAATGCTTCTGTCTAGTTGTTATGGGAAGATATTTCCTTTTCCAACATAGGCCTGAAAGCGCTCCAAATGTCCACTTCCAGATACTACAAAAGGAGTGATTCAAACCTGCTCTATGATAGGGAATGTTCAACTCTGTGTCCTGAATACAAACATCACAAAGATGTTTCTCAGAACGCTGCAGTCTGCAATTTGTATGAATTCCCGCTTCCAACGAAATCCTCAAAACTAGCCAAATATCCACTTGCAGATTCCACAAAAAGAGCGTTTCAAAACTTCTCTATGAAAAGAAAGGTTCTACTCCTTTAGTTGAGGACACACATCACGAGTAAGTTTCTGAGAATGCTTCTGTCTAGTTTTTATGGGAAGATATTTCCTTTTTCACCTTAGGCCGGAAAGTGCTCCAAATGTCCACTTACACATACTACAAAAAGAGTGTTTCAAACCTGCTCTGTGAAAGGGAATGTTCAATTCTGTGACTTGTATGCAACCATCACAAAGAACTTTCTGAGAATGCTGCTGTCTGCTTTTTATATGTAATCCCGTTTCCAACGAAATCCTCAAATCTAGCCAAATAGCCACTTGCAGATTCCACAAAAAGAGTGTTTCAAAACTGTTCTGTCTAAAGAAATGTTCAACTGTGTTAGTTGAGGACACACATCAGAAACTAGTTTCTGAGAATGCTTCTGTCTAGTTGTTATGGGAAGATATTTCCTTTTCCAACGTAGGCCTGAAAGCGCTCCAAATGTCCACTTCCATATACTAAAAAAAGAGTGTTTCAAACCTGCTCTACCAAAGGGAATGTTCTACTCTGTGACTTGAATGCAAACATCCCAAAGAAGTTTCTGAGAATGCTTCTGTCTAGATTTGATCTGAAGACAATCCCGTTTCCAACGAAATCCTCAAGGCTAGGCAAATATCCTCTTGCAGATTCAAGAAAAAGAGTGTTTCAAAACTGCTCCTTCAAAACGGTGGTTCAATTCTCTTAGTTGAGTACACACATCTCAAATAAGTTTCTGAGAATGCTTCTGCCTAGTTGTTACGGGAAGATATTTCCCTTTCCAACATGGGCCTGATAGTGCTCCAAATGTCCACTTCCAGATACTACAAAAAGAGTGTTTCAAACCTGCTCTACCAAAGGGAATGTTCTACTCTGTGACTTGAATGCAAACATCCCAAAAAAGTTTCTGAGAATGCTTCTGTCTAGATTTTACCTGAAGACAATCCCGTTTCCCACGAAATCCTCAAAGCTATGCAAATATCCTCTTGCAGATTCTACAAAAAGAGTGTTTCAAAACTGCTCTATGAAAAGAAAGGTTCAACTCTGTCAGTAGAGGGCACACATCACAAACAAGTTTCTGAGAATGCTTCTGCATAGTTGTTACGGGAAGATATTTCCCTTTCCAAAATAGGCCTGAAAGCGCTCCAAATGTCCACTTCCAGATACTACAAAAGGAGTGATTCCAACCTGCTCTATGATAGGGAATGTTCAACTGCTGTGTCCTGAATACAAACATCACAAAGATGTTTCTCAGAACGCTGCAGTCTGCAATTTGTATGAATTCCCGCTTCCAACGAAATCCTCAAAACTAGCCAAATATCCACTTGCAGATTCCACAAAAAGACCATTTCAAAACTGCTCTATCAAAAGAAAGGTTCAACTTTGTTAGTTGAGTAGATACAGCATAAACAAGTTTCTGAGAATGCTTCTGTCCAGTTTTTATGGGAAGATATTTCCTTTTTCACCTTAGGCCGGTAAGTGCTCCAAATGTCCACTTACACACACTACAAAAAGAGTGTTTCAAACCTGCTCTGTGAAAGGGAATGTTCAATTCTGTGACTTGAATGCAATCATCACAAAGAACTTTCTGAGAATGCTGCTGACTGCTTTTTATATGTAATCCCGTTTCCAACGAAATCCTCAAATCTAGCCAAATAGCCACTTGCAGATTCCACAAAAAGAGTGTTTCAAAACTGTTCTGTCTAAAGAAATGTTCAACTGTGTTAGTTGAGGACACACATCAGAAACTAGTTTCTGAGAATGCTTCTGTCTAGTTGTTATGGGAAGATATTTCCTTTTCCAACGTAGGCCTGAAAGCGCTCCAAATGTCCACTTCCATATACTAAAAAAAGAGTGTTTCAAACCTGCTCTACCAAAGGGAATGTTCTACTCTGTGACTTGAATGCAAACATCCCAAAGAAGTTTCTGAGAATGCTTCTGTCTAGATTTTCTCTGAAGACAATCCCGTTTCCAACGAAATCCTCAAGGCTAGGCAAATATACTCTTGCAGATTCCAGAAAAAGAGTGTTTCAAAACTGCTCCTTCAAAACGGTGGTTCAATTCTCTTAGTTGAGTACACACATCTCAAATAAGTTTCTGAGAATGCTTCTGCCTAGTTGTTACGGGAAGATATTTCCCTTTCCAACATGGGCCTGAAAGCGCTCCAAATGTCCACTTCCAGATACTACAAAAAGAGTGTTTCAAACCTGCTCTACCAAAGGGAATGTTCTACTCTGTGACTTGAATGCAAACATCCCAAAGAAGTTTCTGAGAATGCTTCTGTCTAGATTTTACCTGAAGACAATCCCGTTTCCCACGAAATCCTCAAAGCTATGCAAATATCCTCTTGCAGATTCTACAAAAAGAGTGTTTCAAAACTGCTCTATGAAAAGAAAGGTTCAACTCTGTCAGTAGAGGGCACACATCACAAACAAGTTTCTGAGAATGCTTCTGCATAGTTGTTACGGGAAGATATTTCCCTTTCCAAAATAGGCCTGAAAGCGCTCCAAATGTCCACTTCCAGATACTACAAAAGGAGTGATTCCAACCTGCTCTATGATAGGGAATGTTCAACTCTGTGTCCTGAATACAAACATCACAAAGATGTTTCTCAGAACGCTGCAGTCTGCAATTTGTATGAATTCCCGCTTCCAACGAAATCCTCAAAACTAGCCAAATATCCACTTGCAGATTCCACAAAAAGACCATTTCAAAACTGCTCTATCAAAAGAAAGGTTCAACTTTGTTAGTTGAGTAGATACAGCATAAACAAGTTTCTGAGAATGCTTCTGTCCAGTTTTTATGGGAAGATATTTCCTTTTTCACCTTAGCCCTGAAATCGCTCCAAAAGTCCAGTTCCAGATACTACAAAAGGGGTGTTTCAAGACTGCTCTATGAAAGGGAGTGTTCAACTTTTGACTTGAATGCAAACATCAGAAAGCAGTTTCTCAGAACGCTGCTGTGTGCTTTTTATATGTATTCCCGCTTCCAGCGAAATCCCCAAAGCTAGCCAAATATCCACTTGCAGATTCCAGAAAAAGAGAGTTTCAAAACTGCTCCTTCAAAACGGTGGTTCAATTCTCTTAGTTGAGTACACACATCTCAAATAAGTTTCTGAGAATGCTTCTGTCTAGTTGTTATGGGAAGATATTTCCTTTTCCAACATAGGCCTGAAAGCGCTCCAAATGTCCACTTCCAGATACTACAAAAGGAGTGATTCCAACCTGCTCTATGATAGGGAATGTTCAACTCTGTGTCCTGAATACAAACATCACAAAGATGTTTCTCAGAACGCTGCAGTCTGCAATTTGTATGAATTCCCGCTTCCAACGAAATCCTCAAAACTAGCCAAATATCCACTTGCAGATTCCACAAAAAGAGCGTTTCAAAACTTCTCTATGAAAAGAAAGGTTCTACTCCTTTAGTTGAGGACACACATCACGAGTAAGTTTCTGAGAATGCTTCTGTCTAGTTTTTATGGGAAGATATTTCCTTTTTCACCTTAGGCCGGTAAGGGTTCCAAATGTCCACTTACACACACTACAAAAAGAGTGTTTCAAACCTGCTCTGTGAAAGGGAATGTTCAATTCTGTGACTTGAATGCAATCATCACAAAGAACTTTCTGAGAATGCTGCTGACTGCTTTTTATATGTAATCCCGTTTCCAACGAAATCCTCAAATCTAGCCAAATAGCCACTTGCAGATTCCACAAAAAGAGTGTTTCAAAACTGTTCTGTCTATAGAAATGTTCAACTGTGTTAGTTGAGGACACACATCAGAAACTAGTTTCTGAGAATGCTTCTGTCTAGTTGTTATGGGAAGATATTTCCTTTTCCAACGTAGGCCTGAAAGCGATCCAAATGTCCACTTCCATATACTAAAAAAAGAGTGTTTCAAACCTGCTCTACCAAAGGGAATGTTCTACTCTGTGACTTGAATGCAAACATCCCAAAGAAGTTTCTGAGAATGCTTCTGTCTAGATTTTCTCTGAAGACAATCCCGTTTCCAACGAAATCCTCAAGGCTAGGCAAATATACTCTTGCAGATTCCAGAAAAAGAGTGTTTCAAAACTGCTCCTTCAAAACGGTGGTTCAATTCTCTTAGTTGAGTACACACATCTCAAATAAGTTTCTGAGAATGCTTCTGCCTAGTTGTTACGGGAAGATATTTTCCTTTCCAACATGGGCCTGAAAGCGCTCCAAATGTCCACTTCCAGATACTACAAAAAGAGTGTTTCAAACCTGCTCTACCAAAGGGAATGTTCTACTCTGTGACTTGAATGCAAACATCCCAAAGAAGTTTCTGAGAATGCTTCTGTCTAGATTTTACCTGAAGACAATCCCGTTTCCAACGAAATCCTCAAAGCTATGCAAATATCCTCTTGCAGATTCTACAAAAAGAGTGCTTCAAAACTGCTCTATGAAAAGAAAGGTTCAACTCTGTCAGTAGAGGGCACACATCACAAACAAGTTTCTGAGAATGCTTCTGCATAGTTGTTACGGGAAGATATTTCCCTTTCCAAAATAGGCCTGAAAGCGCTCCAAATGTCCACTTCCAGATACTACAAAAGGAGTGATTCCAACCTGCTCTATGATAGGGAATGTTCAACTCTGTGTCCTGAATACAAACATCACAAAGATGTTTCTCAGAACGCTGCAGTCTGCAATTTGTATGAATTCCCGCTTCCAACGAAATCCTCAAAACTAGCCAAATATCCACTTGCAGATTCCACAAAAAGACCATTTCAAAACTGCTCTATCAAAAGAAAGGTTCAACTTTGTTAGTTGAGTAGATACAGCATAACCAAGTTTCTGAGAATGCTTCTGTCCAGTTTTTATGGGAAGATATTTCCTTTTTCACCTTAGCCCTGAAATCGCTCCAAAAGTCCAGTTCCAGATACTACAAAAGGGGTGTTTCAAGACTGCTCTATGAAAGGGAGTGTTCAACTTTTGACTTGAATGCAAACATCAGAAAGCAGTTTCTCAGAACGCTGCTGTGTGCTTTTTATATGTATTCCCGCTTCCAGCGAAATCCCCAAAGCTAGCCAAATATCCACTTGCAGATTCCAGAAAAAGAGAGTTTCAAAACTGCTCCTTCAAAACGGTGGTTCAATTCTCTTAGTTGAGTACACACATCTCAAATAAGTTTCTGAGAATGCTTCTGTCTAGTTGTTATGGGAAGATATTTCCTTTTCCAACATAGGCCTGAAAGCGCTCCAAATGTCCACTTCCAGATACTACAAAAGGAGTGATTCCAACCTGCTCTATGATAGGGAATGTTCAACTCTGTGTCCTGAATACAAACATCACAAAGATGTTTCTCAGAACGCTGCAGTCTGCAATTTGTATGAATTCCCGCTTCCAACGAAATCCTCAAAACTAGCCAAATATCCACTTGCAGATTCCACAAAAAGAGCGTTTCAAAACTTCTCTATGAAAAGAAAGGTTCTACTCCTTTAGTTGAGGACACACATCACGAGTAAGTTTCTGAGAATGCTTCTGTCTAGTTTTTATGGGAAGATATTTCCTTTTTCACCTTAGGCCGGTAAGTGCTCCAAATGTCCACTTACACACACTACAAAAAGAGTGTTTCAAACCTGCTCTGTGAAAGGGAATGTTCAATTCTGTGACTTGAATGCAATCATCACAAAGAACTTTCTGAGAATGCTGCTGACTGCTTTTTATATGTAATCCCGTTTCCAACGAAATCCTCAAATCTAGCCAAATAGCCACTTGCAGATTCCACAAAAAGAGTGTTTCAAAACTGTTCTGTCTAAAGAAATGTTCAACTGTGTTAGTTGAGGACACACATCAGAAACTAGTTTCTGAGAATGCTTCTGTCTAGTTGTTATGGGAAGATATTTCCTTTTCCAACGTAGGCCTGAAAGCGCTCCAAATGTCCACTTCCATATACTAAAAAAAGAGTGTTTCAAACCTGCTCTACCAAAGGGAATGTTCTACTCTGTGACTTGAATGCAAACATCCCAAAGAAGTTTCTGAGAATGCTTCTGTCTAGATTTTCTCTGAAGACAATCCCGTTTCCAACGAAATCCTCAAGGCTAGGCAAATATACTCTTGCAGATTCCAGAAAAAGAGTGTTTCAAAACTGCTCCTTCAAAACGGTGGTTCAATTCTCTTAGTTGAGTACACACATCTCAAATAAGTTTCTGAGAATGCTTCTGCCTAGTTGTTACGGGAAGATATTTCCCTTTCCAACATGGGCCTGAAAGCGCTCCAAATGTCCACTTCCAGATACTACAAAAAGAGTGTTTCAAACCTGCTCTACCAAAGGGAATGTTCTACTCTGTGACTTGAATGCAAACATCCCAAAGAAGTTTCTGAGAATGCTTCTGTCTAGATTTTACCTGAAGACAATCCCGTTTCCCACGAAATCCTCAAAGCTATGCAAATATCCTCTTGCAGATTCTACAAAAAGAGTGTTTCAAAACTGCTCTATGAAAAGAAAGGTTCAACTCTGTCAGTAGAGGGCACACATCACAAACAAGTTTCTGAGAATGC
This sequence comes from Homo sapiens, assembly GCF_000001405.40. Taxonomy (NCBI): domain Eukaryota; kingdom Metazoa; phylum Chordata; class Mammalia; order Primates; family Hominidae; genus Homo; species Homo sapiens. The sequence continues at coordinate 16,304,694 of NC_000018.10, read as the reverse complement.
TTCTGCATAGTTGTTACGGGAAGATATTTCCCTTTCCAAAATAGGCCTGAAAGCGCTCCAAATGTCCACTTCCAGATACTACAAAAGGAGTGATTCCAACCTGCTCTATGATAGGGAATGTTCAACTCTGTGTCCTGAATACAAACATCACAAAGATGTTTCTCAGAACGCTGCAGTCTGCAATTTGTATGAATTCCCGCTTCCAACGAAATCCTCAAAACTAGCCAAATATCCACTTGCAGATTCCACAAAAAGACCATTTCAAAACTGCTCTATCAAAAGAAAGGTTCAACTTTGTTAGTTGAGTAGTTACAGCATAAACAAGTTTCTGAGAATGCTTCTGTCCAGTTTTTATGGGAAGATATTTCCTTTTTCACCTTAGCCCTGAAATCGCTCCAAAAGTCCAGTTCCAGATACTACAAAACGGGTGTTACAAGACTGCTCTATGAAAGGGAGTGTTCAACTTTTGACTTGAATGCAAACATCAGAAAGCAGTTTCTCAGAACGCTGCTGTGTGCTTTTTATATGTATTCCCGCTTCCAGCGAAATCCCCAAAGCTAGCCAAATATCCACTTGCAGATTCCAGAAAAAGAGAGTTTCAAAACTGCTCCTTCAAAACGGTGGTTCAATTCTCTTAGTTGAGTACACACATCTCAAATAAGTTTCTGAGAATGCTTCTGTCTAGTTGTTATGGGAAGATATTTCCTTTTCCAACATAGGCCTGAAAGCGCTCCAAATGTCCACTTCCAGATACTACAAAAGGAGTGATTCCAACCTGCTCTATGATAGGGAATGTTCAACTCTGTGTCCTGAATACAAACATCACAAAGATGTTTCTCAGAACGCTGCAGTCTGCAATTTGTATGAATTCCCGCTTCCAACGAAATCCTCAAAACTAGCCAAATATCCACTTGCAGATTCCACAAAAAGAGCGTTTCAAAACTTCTCTATGAAAAGAAAGGTTCTACTCCTTTAGTTGAGGACACACATCACGAGTAAGTTTCTGAGAATGCTTCTGTCTAGTTTTTATGGGAAGATATTTCCTTTTTCACCTTAGGCCGGTAAGTGCTCCAAATGTCCACTTACACACACTACAAAAAGAGTGTTTCAAACCTGCTCTGTGAAAGGGAATGTTCAATTCTGTGACTTGAATGCAATCATCACAAAGAACTTTCTGAGAATGCTGCTGACTGCTTTTTATATGTAATCCCGTTTCCAACGAAATCCTCAAATCTAGCCAAATAGCCTCTTGCAGATTCCACAAAAAGAGTGTTTCAAAACTGTTCTGTCTAAAGAAATGTTCAACTGTGTTAGTTGAGGACACACATCAGAAACTAGTTTCTGAGAATGCTTCTGTCTAGTTGTTATGGGAAGATATTTCCTTTTCCAACGTAGGCCTGAAAGCGCTCCAAATGTCCACTTCCATATACTAAAAAAAGAGTGTTTCAAACCTGCTCTACCAAAGGGAATGTTCTACTCTGTGACTTGAATGCAAACATCCCAAAGAAGTTTCTGAGAATGCTTCTGTCTAGATTTGATCTGAAGACAATCCCGTTTCCAACGAAATCCTCATGGCTAGGCAAATATCCTCTTGCAGATTCCAGAAAAAGAGTGTTTCAAAACTGCTCCTTCAAAACGGTGGTTCAATTCTCTTAGTTGAGTACACACATCTCAAATAAGTTTCTGAGAATGCTTCTGCCTAGTTGTTACGGGAAGATATTTCCCTTTCCAACATAGGCCTGAAAGCGCTCCAAATGTCCACTTCCAGATACTACAAAAAGAGTGTTTCAAACCTGCTCTACCAAAGGGAATGTTCTACTCTGTGACTTGAATGCAAACATCCCAAAGAAGTTTCTGAGAATGCTTCTGTCTAGATTTTACCTGAAGACAATCCCGTTTCCCACGAAATCCTCAAAGCTATGCAAATATCCTCTTGCAGATTCTACAAAAAGAGTGTTTCAAAACTGCTCTATGAAAAGAAAGGTTCAACTCTGTCAGTAGAGGGCACACATCACAAACAAGTTTCTGAGAATGCTTCTGCATAGTTGTTACGGGAAGATATTTCCCTTTCCAAAATAGGCCTGAAAGCGCTCCAAATGTCCACTTCCAGATACTACAAAAGGAGTGATTCCAACCTGCTCTATGATAGGGAATGTTCAACTCTGTGTCCTGAATACAAACATCACAAAGATGTTTCTCAGAACGCTGCAGTCTGCAATTTGTATGAATTCCCGCTTCCAAAGAAATCCTCAAAACTAGCCAAATATCCACTTGCAGATTCCACAAAAAGACCATTTCAAAACTGCTCTATCAAAAGAAAGGTTCAACTTTGTTAGTTGAGTAGATACAGCATAAACAATTTTCTGAGAATGCTTCTGTCCAGTTTTTATGGGAAGATATTTCCTTTTTCACCTTAGCCCTGAAATCGCTCCAAAAGTCCAGTTCCAGATACTACAAAAGGGGTGTTTCAAGACTGCTCTATGAAAGGGAGTGTTCAACTTTTGACTTGAATGCAAACATCAGAAAGCAGTTTCTCAGAACGCTGCTGTGTGCTTTTTATATGTATTCCCGCTTCCAGCGAAATCCCCAAAGCTAGCCAAATATCCACTTGCAGATTCCAGAAAAAGAGAGTTTCAAAACTGCTCCTTCAAAACGGTGGTTCAATTCTCTTAGTTGAGTACACACATCTCAAATAAGTTTCTGAGAATGCTTCTGTCTAGTTGTTATGGGAAGATATTTCCTTTTCCAACATAGGCCTGAAAGCGCTCCAAATGTCCACTTCCAGATACTACAAAAGGAGTGATTCCAACCTGCTCTATGATAGGGAATGTTCAACTCTGTGTCCTGAATACAAACATCACAAAGATGTTTCTCAGAACGCTGCAGTCTGCAATTTGTATGAATTCCCGCTTCCAACGAAATCCTCCAAACTAGCCAAATATCCACTTGCAGATTCCACAAAAAGAGCGTTTCAAAACTTCTCTATGAAAAGAAAGGTTCTACTCCTTTAGTTGAGGACACACATCACGAGTAAGTTTCTGAGAATGCTTCTGTCTAGTTTGTATGGGAAGATATTTCCTTTTTCACCTTAGGCCGGAAAGTGCTCCAAATGTCCACTTACACACACTACAAAAAGAGTGTTTCAAACCTGCTCTGTGAAAGGGAATGTTCAATTCTGTGACTTGAATGCAATCATCACAAAGAACTTTCTGAGAATGCTGCTGTCTGCTTTTTATATGTAATCCCGTTTCCAACGAAATCCTCAAATCTAGCCAAATAGCCACTTGCAGATTCCACAAAAAGAGTGTTTCAAAACTGTTCTGTCTAAAGAAATGTTCAACTGTGTTAGTTGAGGACACACATCAGAAACTAGTTTCTGAGAATGCTTCTGTCTAGTTGTTATGGGAAGATATTTCCTTTTCCAACGTAGGCCTGAAAGCGCTCCAAATGTCCACTTCCATATACTAAAAAAAGAGTGTTTCAAACCTGCTCTACCAAAGGGAATGTTCTACTCTGTGACTTGAATGCAAACATCCCAAAGAAGTTTCTGAGAATGCTTCTGTCTAGATTTGATCTGAAGACAATCCCGTTTCCAACGAAATCCTCAAGGCTAGGCAAATATCCTCTTGCAGATTCCAGAAAAAGAGTGTTTCAAAACTGCTCCTTCAAAACGGTGGTTCAATTCTCTTAGTTGAGTACACACATCTCAAATAAGTTTCTGAGAATGCTTCTGCCTAGTTGTTACGGGAAGATATTTCCCTTTCCAACATAGGCCTGAAAGCGCTCCAAATGTCCACTTCCAGATACTACAAAAAGAGTGTTTCAAACCTGCTCTACCAAAGGGAATGTTCTACTCTGTGACTTGAATGCAAACATCCCAAAGAAGTTTCTGAGAATGCTTCTGTCTAGATTTTACCTGAAGACAATCCCGTTTCCCACGAAATCCTCAAAGCTATGCAAATATCCTCTTGCAGATTCTACAAAAAGAGTGTTTCAAAACTGCTCTATGAAAAGAAAGGTTCAACTCTGTCAGTAGAGGGCACACATCACAAACAAGTTTCTGAGAATGCTTGTGTCTAGTTGTTATGGGAAGTATATTTCCTTTTTCAACATAGGCCTGAAAGCGCTCCAAATGTCCACTTCCAGATACTACAAAAGGAGTGATTCCAACCTGCTCTATGATAGGGAATGTTCAACTCTCTGTCCTGAATACAAACATCACAAAGATGTTTCTCAGAACGCTGCAGTCTGCAATTTGTATGAATTCCCGCTTCCAACGGAAATCCTCAAAACTAGCCAAATATCCACTTGCAGATTCCACAAAAAGAGCGTTTCAAAACTTCTCTATGAAAAGGAAGGTTCTACTCCTTTAGTTGAGGACACACATCACGAGTAAGTTTCTGAGAATGCTTCTGTCTAGTTTTTATGGGAAGATATTTCCTTTTTCACCTTAGGCCGGTAAGTGCTCCAAATGTCCACTTACACACACTACAAAAAGAGTGTTTCAAACCTGCTCTGTGAAAGGGAATGTTCAATTCTGTGACTTGAATGCAATCATCACAAAGAACTTTCTGAGAATGCTGCTGACTGCTTTTTATATGTAATCCCGTTTCCAACGAAATCCTCAAATCTAGCCAAATAGCCACTTGCAGATTCCACAAAAAGAGTGTTTCAAAACTGTTCTGTCTAAAGAAATGTTCAACTGTGTTAGTTGAGGACACACATCAGAAACTAGTTTCTGAGAATGCTTCTGTCTAGTTGTTATGGGAAGATATTTCCTTTTCCAACGTAGGCCTGAAAGCGATCCAAATGTCCACTTCCATATACTAAAAAAAGAGTGTTTCAAACCTGCTCTACCAAAGGGAATGTTCTACTCTGTGACTTGAATGCAAACATCCCAAAGAAGTTTCTGAGAATGCTTCTGTCTAGATTTTCTCTGAAGACAATCCCGTTTCCAACGAAATCCTCAAGGCTAGGCAAATATACTCTTGCAGATTCCAGAAAAAGAGTGTTTCAAAACTGCTCCTTCAAAACGGTGGTTCAATTCTCTTAGTTGAGTACACACATCTCAAATAAGTTTCTGAGAATGCTTCTGCCTAGTTGTTACGGGAAAATATTTCCCTTTCCAACATGGGCCTGATAGCGCTCCGAATGTCCACTTCCAGATACTACAAAAAGAGGGTTTCAAACCTGCTCTACCAAAGGGAATGTTCTACTCTGTGACTTGAATGCAAACATCCCAAAGAAGTTTCTGAGAATGCTTCTGTCTAGATTTTACCTGAAGACAATCCCGTTTCCCACGAAATCCTCAAAGCTATGCAAATATCCTCTTGCAGATTCTACAAAAAGAGTGTTTCAAAACTGCTCTATGAAAAGAAAGGTTCAACTCTGTCAGTAGAGGGCACACATCACAAACAAGTTTCTGAGAATGCTTCTGCATAGTTGTTACGGGAAGATATTTCCCTTTCCAAAATAGGCCTGAAAGCGCTCCAAATGTCCACTTCCAGATACTACAAAAGGAGTGATTCCAACCTGCTCTATGATAGGGAATGTTCAACTCTGTGTCCTGAATACAAACATCACAAAGATGTTTCTCAGAACGCTGCAGTCTGCAATTTGTATGAATTCCCGCTTCCAACGAAATCCTCAAAACTAGCCAAATATCCACTTGCAGATTCCACAAAAAGACCATTTCAAAACTGCTCTATCAAAAGAAAGGTTCAACTTTGTTAGTTGAGTAGATACAGCATAAACAAGTTTCTGAGAATGCTTCTGTCCAGTTTTTATGGGAAGATATTTCCTTTTTCACCTTAGCCCTGAAATCGCTCCAAAAGTCCAGTTCCAGATACTACCAAAGGGGTGTTTCAGGACTGCTCTATGAAAGGGAGTGTTCAACTTTTGACTTGAATGCAAACATCAGAAAGCAGTTTCTCAGAACGCTGCTGTGTGCTTTTTATATGTATTCCCGCTTCCAGCGAAATCCCCAAAGCTAGCCAAATATCCACTTGCAGATTCCAGAAAAAGAGAGTTTCAAAACTGCTCCTTCAAAACGGTGGTTCAATTCTCTTAGTTGAGTACACACATCTCAAATAAGTTTCTGAGAATGCTTCTGTCTAGTTGTTATGGGAAGATATTTCCTTTTCCAACATAGGCCTGAAAGCGCTCCAAATGTCCACTTCCAGATACTACAAAAGGAGTGATTCCAACCTGCTCTATGATAGGGAATGTTCAACTCTGTGTCCTGAATACAAACATCACAAAGATGTTTCTCAGAACGCTGCAGTCTGCAATTTGTATGAATTCCCGCTTCCAACGAAATCCTCAAAACTAGCCAAATATCCACTTGCAGATTCCACAAAAAGAGCGTTTCAAAACTTCTCTATGAAAAGAAAGGTTCTACTCCTTTAGTTGAGGACACACATCACGAGTAAGTTTCTGAGAATGCTTCTGTCTAGTTTTTATGGGAAGATATTTCCTTTTTCACCTTAGGCCGGAAAGTGCTCCAAATGTCCACTTACACACACTACAAAAAGAGTGTTTCAAACCTGCTCTGTGAAAGGGAATGTTCAATTCTGTGACTTGAATGCAATCATCCCAAAGAACTTTCTGAGAATGCTGCTGTCTGCTTTTTATATGTAATCCCGTTTCCAACGAAATCCTCAAATCTAGCCAAATAGCCACTTGCAGATTCCACAAAAAGAGTGTTTCAAAACTGTTCTGTCTAAAGAAATGTTCAACTGTGTTAGTTGAGGACACACATCAGAAACTAGTTTCTGAGAATGCTTCTGTCTAGTTGTTATGGAAAGATATTTCCTTTTCCAACGTAGGCCTGAAAGCGCTCCAAATGTCCACTTCCAGATACTACAAAAGGAGTGATTCCAACCTGCTCTATGATAGGGAATGTTCAACTCTGTGTCCTGAATACAAACATCACAAAGATGTTTCTCAGAACGCTTCTGTCTAGATTTGATCTGAAGACAATCCCGTTTCCAACGAAATCCTCAAGGCTAGGCAAATATCCTCTTGCAGATTCCAGAAAAAGAGTGTTTCAAAACTGCTCCTTCAAAACGGTGGTTCAATTCTCTTAGTTGAGTACACACATCTCAAATAAGTTTCTGAGAATGCTTCTGCCTAGTTGTTACGGGAAGATATTTCCCTTTCCAACATAGGCCTGAAAGCGCTCCAAATGTCCACTTCCAGATACTACAAAAAGAGTGTTTCAAACCTGCTCTACCAAAGGGAATGTTCTACTCTGTGACTTGAATGCAAACATCCCAAAGAAGTTTCTGAGAATGCTTCTGTCTAGATTTTACCTGAAGACAATCCCGTTTCCCACGAAATCCTCAAAGCTATGCAAATATCCTCTTGCAGATTCTACAAAAAGAGTGTTTCAAAACTGCTCTATGAAAAGAAAGGTTCAACTCTGTCAGTAGAGGGCACACATCACAAACAAGTTTCTGAGAATGCTTCTGTCTAGTTGTTATGGGAAGATATTTCCTTTTCCAACATAGGCCTGAAAGCGCTCCAAATGTCCACTTCCAGATACTACAAAAGGAGTGATTCCAACCTGCTCTATGATAGGGAATGTTCAACTCTGTGTCCTGAATACAAACATCACAAAGATGTTTCTCAGAACGCTGCAGTCTGCAATTTGTATGAATTCCCGCTTCCAACGAAATCCTCAAAACTAGCCAAATATCCACTTGCAGATTCCACAAAAAGAGCGTTTCAAAACTTCTCTATGAAAAGAAAGGTTCTACTCCTTTAGTTGAGGACACACATCACGAGTAAGTTTCTGAGAATGCTTCTGTCTAGTTTTTATGGGAAGATATTTCCTTTTTCACCTTAGGCCGGTAAGTGCTCCAAATGTCCACTTACACACACTACAAAAAGAGTGTTTCAAACCTGCTCTGTGAAAGGGAATGTTCAATTCTGTGACTTGAATGCAATCATCACAAAGAACTTTCTGAGAATGCTGCTGACTGCTTTTTATATGTAATCCCGTTTCCAACGAAATCCTCAAATCTAGCCAAATAGCCACTTGCAGATTCCACAAAAAGAGTGTTTCAAAACTGTTCTGTCTAAAGAAATGTTCAACTGTGTTAGTTGAGGACACACATCAGAAACTAGTTTCTGAGAATGCTTCTGTCTAGTTGTTATGGGAAGATATTTCCTTTTCCAACGTAGGCCTGAAAGCGCTCCAAATGTCCACTTCCATATACTAAAAAAAGAGTGTTTCAAACCTGCTCTACCAAAGGGAATGTTCTACTCTGTGACTTGAATGCAAACATCCCAAAGAAGTTTCTGAGAATGCTTCTGTCTAGATTTGATCTGAAGACAATCCCGTTTCCAACGAAATCCTCAAGGCTAGTCAAATATCCTCTTGCAGATTCCAGAAAAAGAGTGTTTCAAAACTGCTCCTTCAAAACGGTGGTTCAATTCTCTTAGTTGAGTACACACATCTCAAATAAGTTTCTGAGAATGCTTCTGCCTAGTTGTTACGGGAAGATATTTCCCTTTCCAACATAGGCCTGAAAGCGCTCCAAATGTCCACTTCCAGATACTACAAAAAGAGTGTTTCAAACCTGCTCTACCAAAGGGAATGTTCTACTCTGTGACTTGAATGCAAACATCCCAAAGAAGTTTCTGAGAATGCTTCTGTCTAGATTTTACCTGAAGACAATCCCGTTTCCCACGAAATCCTCAAAGCTATGCAAATATCCTCTTGCAGATTCTACAAAAACAGTGTTTCAAAACTGCTCTATGAAAAGAAAGGTTCAACTCTGTCAGTAGAGGGCACACATCACAAACAAGTTTCTGAGAATGCTTGTGTCTAGTTGTTATGGGAAGATATTTCCTTTTTCAACATAGGCCTGAAAGCGCTCCAAATGTCCACTTCCAGATACTACAAAAGGAGTGATTCCAACCTGCTCTATGATAGGGAATGTTCCACTCTGTGTCCTGAATACAAACATCACAAAGATGTTTCTCAGAACGCTGCAGTCTGCAATTTGTATGAATTCCCGCTTCCAACGAAATCCTCAAAACTAGCCAAATATCCACTTGCAGATTCCACAAAAAGAGCGTTTCAAAACTTCTCTATGAAAAGGAAGGTTCTACTCCTTTAGTTGAGGACACACATCACGAGTAAGTTTCTGAGAATGCTTCTGTCTAGTTTTTATGGGAAGATATTTCCTTTTTCACCTTAGGCCGGAAAGTGCTCCAAATGTCCACTTACACACACTACAAAAAGAGTGTTTCAAACCTGCTCTGTGAAAGGGAATGTTCAATTCTGTGACTTGAATGCAATCATCACAAAGAACTTTCTGAGAATGCTGCTGTCTGCTTTTTATATGTAATCCCGTTTCCAACGAAATCCTCAAATCTAGCCAAATAGCCACTTGCAGATTCCACAAAAAGAGTGTTTCAAAACTTTTCTGTCTAAAGAAATGTTCAACTGTGTTAGTTGAGGACACGCATCAGAAACTAGTTTCTGAGAATGCTTCTGTCTAGTTGTTATGGGAAGATATTTCCTTTTCCAACGTAGGCCTGAAAGCGCTCCAAATGTCCACTTCCATATACTAAAAAAAGAGTATTTCAAACCTGCTCTACCAAAGGGAATGTTCTACTCTGTGACTTGAATGCAAACATCCCAAAGAAGTTTCTGAGAATGCTTCTGTCTAGATTTGATCTGAAGACAATCCCGTTTCCAACGAAATCCTCAAGGCTAGGCAAATATCCTCTTGCAGATTCCAGAAAAAGAGTGTTTCAAAACTGCTCCTTCAAAACGGTGGTTCAATTCTCTTAGTTGAGTACACACATCTCAAATAAGTTTCTGAGAATGCTTCTGCCTAGTTGTTACGGGAAGATATTTCCCTTTCCAACATAGGCCTGAAAGCGCTCCAAATGTCCACTTCCAGATACTACAAAAAGAGTGTTTCAAACCTGCTCTACCAAAGGGAATGTTCTACTCTGTGACTTGAATGCAAACATCCCAAAGAAGTTTCTGAGAATGCTTCTGTCTAGATTTTACCTGAAGACAATCCCGTTTCCCACGAAATCCTCAAAGCTATGCAAATATCCTCTTGCAGATTCTACAAAAAGAGTGTTTCAAAACTGCTCTATGAAAAGAAAGGTTCAACTCTGTCACTAGAGGGCACACATCACAAACAAGTTTCTGAGAATGCTTGTGTCTAGTTGTTATGGGAATATATTTCCTTTTTCAACATAGGCCTGAAAGCGCTCCAAATGTCCACTTCCAGATACTACAAAAGGAGTGATTCCAACCTGCTCTATGATAGGGAATGTTCAACTCTGTGTCCTGAATACAAACATCACAAAGATGTTTCTCAGAACGCTGCAGTCTGCAATTTGTATGAATTCCCGCTTCCAACGAAATCCTCAAAACTAGCCAAATATCCACTTGCAGATTCCACAAAAAGAGCATTTCAAAACTGCTCTATCAAAAGAAAGGTTCAACTTTGTTAGTTGAGTAGATACAGCATAAACAAGTTTCTGAGAATGCTGCAGTCTGCAATTTGTATGAATTCCCGCTTCCAACGAAATCCTCAAAACTAGCCAAATATCCACTTGGAGATTCCACAAAAAGAGCGTTTCAAAACTTCTCTATGAATAGAAAGTTTCTACTCCTTTAGTTGAGGACACACATCACGAGTAAGTTTGCTGAGAATGCTTCTGTCTAGTTTTTATGGGAAGATATTTCCTTTCTCACCTTAGGCCGGAAAGTGCTCCAAATGTCCACTTACACACACTACAAAAAGAGTGTTTCAAACCTGCTCTGTGAAAGGGAATGTTCAATTCTGTGACTTGAATGCAATCATCACAATGAACTTTCTGAGAATGCTGCTGTCTGCTTTTTATATGTAATCCCGTTTCCAACGAAATCCTCAAATCTAGACAAATAGCCACTTGCAGATTCCACAAAAAGAGAGTTTCAAAACTGTTCTGTCTAAAGAAATGTTCAACTGTGTTAGTTGAGGACACACATCAGAAACTAGTTTCTGAGAATGCTTCTGTCTAGTTGTTATGGGAAGATATTTCGTTTTCCAAAGTAGGCCTGAAAGCGCTCCAAATGTCCACTTCCATATACTAAAAAAAGAGTGTTTCACACCTGCTCTACCAAAGGGAATGTTCTACTCTGTGACTTGAATGCAAACATCCCAAAGAAGTTTCTGAGAATGCTTCTGTCTAGATTTGATCTGAACACAATCCCGTTTCCAACGAAATCCTCAAAGCTAGGCAAATATCCTCTTGCAGATTCCAGAAAAAGAGTGTTTCAAAACTGCTCCTTCAAAACGGTGGTTCAATTCTCTTAGTTGAGTACACACATCTCAAATAAGTTTCTGAGAATGCTTCTGCCTAGTTGTTACCGGAAGATATTTCCCTTTCCAACATAGGCCTGAAAGCGCTCCAAATGTCCACTTCCAGATACTACAAAAAGAGTGTTTCAAACCTGCTCTACCAAAGGGAATGTTCTACTCTGTGACTTGAATGCAAACATCCCAAAGAAGTTTCTGAGAATGCTTCTGTCTAGATTTTACCTGAAGACAATCCCGTTTCCCACGAAATCCTCAAAGCTATGCAAATATCCTCTTGCAGATTCTACAAAAAGAGTGTTTCAAAACTGCTCTATGAAAAGAAAGGTTCAACTCTGTCAGTAGAGGGCACACATCACAAACAAGTTTCTGAGAATGCTTGTGTCTAGTTGTTATGGGAAGATATTTCCTTTTTCAACATAGGCCTGAAAGCGCTCCAAATGTCCACTTCCAGATACTACAAAAGGAGTGATTCCAACCTGCTCTATGATAGGGAATGTTCAACTCTCTGTCCTGAATACAAACATCACAAAGATGTTTCTCAGAACGCTGCAGTCTGCAATTTGTATGAATTCCCGCTTCCAACGAAATCCTCAAAACTAGCCAAATATCCACTTGCAGATTCCACAAAAAGAGCATTTCAAAACTGCTCTATCAAAAGAAAGGTTCAACTTTGTTAGTTGAGTAGATACAGCATAAACAAGTTTCTGAGAATGCTTCTGTCCAGTTTTTATGGGAAGATATTTCCTTTTTCACCTTAGCCCTGAAAGCGCTCCAAAAGTCCAGTTCCAGATACTACAAAAGGAGTGTTTCAGGACTGCTCTATGAAAGGGAGTGTTCAACTTTTGACTTGAATGCAAACATCAGAAAGCAGTTTCTCAGAACGCTGCTGTGTGCTTTTTATATGTATTCCCGCTTCCAGCGAAATCCCCAAAGCTAGCCAAATATCCACTTGCAGATTCCAGAAAAAGAGTGTTTCAAAACTGCTCCTTCAAAACGGTGGTTCAATTCTCTTAGTTGAGTACACACATCTCAAATAAGTTTCTGAGAATGCTTCTGTCTAGTTGTTATGGGAAGATATTTCCTTTTCCAACATAGGCCTGAAAGCGCTCCAAATGTCCACTTCCAGATACTACAAAAGGAGTGATTCAAACCTGCTCTATGATAGGGAATGTTCAACTCTGTGTCCTGAATACAAACATCACAAAGATGTTTCTCAGAACGCTGCAGTCTGCAATTTGTATGAATTCCCGCTTCCAAAGAAATCCTCAAAACTAGCCAAATATCCACTTGCAGATTCCACAAAAAGAGCGTTTCAAAACTTCTCTATGAAAAGAAAGGTTCTACTCCTTTAGTTGAGGACACACATCACGAGTAAGTTTCTGAGAATGCTTCTGTCTAGTTTTTATGGGAAGATATTTCCTTTTTCACCTTAGGCCGGTAAGTGCTCCAAATGTCCACTTACACACACTACAAAAAGAGTGTTTCAAACCTGCTCTGTGAAAGGGAATGTTCAATTCTGTGACTTGAATGCAATCATCACAAAGAACTTTCTGAGAATGCTGCTCACTGCTTTTTATATGTAATCCCGTTTCCAACGAAATCCTCAAATCTAGCCCAATATCCACTTGCAGATTCCACAAAAAGAGTGTTTCAAAACTGTTCTGTCTAAAGAAATGTACAACTGTGTTAGTTGAGGACACACATCAGAAACTAGTTTCTGAGAATGCTTCTGTCTAGTTGTTATGGGAAGATATTTCCTTTTCCAACGTAGGCCTGAAAGCGCTCCAAATGTCCACTTCCATATACTAAAAAAAGAGTGTTTCAAACCTGCTCTACCAAAGGGAATGTTCTACTCTGTGACTTGAATGCAAACATCCCAAAGAAGTTTCTGAGAATGCTTCTGTCTAGATTTTCTCTGAAGACAATCCCGTTTCCAACGAAATCCTCAAGGCTAGGCAAATATACTCTTGCAGATTCCAGAAAAAGAGTGTTTCAAAACTGCTCCTTCAAAACGGTGGTTCAATTCTCTTAGTTGAGTACACACATCTCAAATAAGTTTCTGAGAATGCTTCTGCCTAGTTGTTACGGGAAGATATTTCCCTTTCCAACATGGGCCTGAAAGCGCTCCAAATGTCCACTTCCAGATACTACAAAAAGAGTGTTTCAAACCTGCTCTACCAAAGGGAATGTTCTACTCTGTGACTTGAATGCAAACATCCCAAAGAAGTTTCTGAGAATGCTTCTGTCTAGATTTTACCTGAAGACAATCCCGTTTCCCACGAAATCCTCAAAGCTATGCAAATATCCTCTTGCAGATTCTACAAAAAGAGTGTTTCAAAACTGCTCTATGAAAAGAAAGGTTCAACTCTGTCAGTAGAGGGCACACATCACAAACAAGTTTCTGAGAATGCTTCTGTCTAGTTGTTATGGGAAAATATTTCCTTTTCCAACATAGGCCTGAAAGCGCTCCAAATGTCCACTTCCAGATACTACAAAAGGAGTGATTCAAACCTGCTCTATGATAGGGAATGTTCAACTCTGTGTCCTGAATACAAACATCACAAAGATGTTTCTCAGAACGCTGCAGTCTGCAATTTGTATGAATTCCCGCTTCCAACGAAATCCTCAAAACTAGCCAAATATCCACTTGCAGATTCCACAAAAAGACCATTTCAAAACTGCTCTATCAAAAGAAAGGTTCAACTTTGTTAGTTGAGTAGATACAGCATAAACAAGTTTCTGAGAATGCTTCTGTCCAGTTTTTATGGGAAGATATTTCCTTTTTCACCTTAGCCCTGAAATCGCTCCAAAAGTCCAGTTCCAGATACTACAAAACGGGTATTTCAAGACTGCTCTATGAAAGGGAGTGTTCAACTTTTGACTTGAATGCAAACATCAGAAAGCAGTTTCTCAGAACGCTGCTGTGTGCTTTTTATATGTATTCCCGCTTCCAGCGAAATCCCCAAAGCTAGCCAAATATCCACTTGCAGATTCCAGAAAAAGAGAGTTTCAAAACTGCTCCTTCAAAACGGTGGTTCAATTCTCTTAGTTGAGTACACACATCTCAAATAAGTTTCTGAGAATGCTTCTGTCTAGTTGTTATGGGAAGATATTTCCTTTTCCAACATAGGCCTGAAAGCGCTCCAAATGTCCACTTCCAGATACTACAAAAGGAGTGATTCCAACCTGCTCTATGATAGGGAATGTTCAACTCTGTGTCCTGAATACAAACATCACAAAGATGTTTCTCAGAACGCTGCAGTCTGCAATTTGTATGAATTCCCGCTTCCAACGAAATCCTCAAAACTAGCCAAATATCCACTTGCAGATTCCACAAAAAGAGCGTTTCAAAACTTCTCTATGAAAAGAAAGGTTCTACTCCTTTAGTTGAGGACACACAATACGAGTAAGTTTCTGAGAATGCTTCTGTCCAGTTTTTATGGGAAGATATTTCCTTTTTCACCTTAGCCCTGAAAGCGCTCCAAAAGTCCAGTTCCAGATACTACAAAAGGAGTGTTTCAGGACTGCTCTATGAAAGGGAGTGTTCAACTTTTGACTTGAATGCAAACATCAGAAAGCAGTTTCTCAGAACGCTGCTGTGTGCTTTTTATATGTATTCCCGCTTCCAGCGAAATCCCCAAAGCTAGCCAAATATCCACTTGCAGATTCCAGAAAAAGAGTGTTTCAAAACTGCTCCTTCAAAACGGTGGTTCAATTCTCTTAGTTGAGTACACACATCTCAAATAAGTTTCTGAGAATGCTTCTGTCTAGTTGTTATGGGAAGATATTTCCTTTTCCAACATAGGCCTGAAAGCGCTCCAAATGTCCACTTCCAGATACTACAAAAGGAGTGATTCCAACCTGCTCTATGATAGGGAATGTTCAACTCTGTGTCCTGAATACAAACATCACAAAGATGTTTCTCAGAACGCTGCAGTCTGCAATTTGTATGAATTCCCGCTTCCAACGAAATCCTCAAAACTAGCCAAATATCCACTTGCAGATTCCACAAAAAGAGCGTTTCAAAACTTCTCTATGAAAACAAAGGTTCTACTCCTTTAGTTGAGGACACACATCACGAGTAAGTTTCTGAGAATGCTTCTGTCTAGTTTTTATGGGAAGATATTTCCTTTTTTACCTTAGGCCGGAAAGTGCTCCAAATGTCCACTTACACACACTATAAAAAGAGTGTTTCAAACCTGCTCTGTGAAAGGGAATGTTCAATTCTGTGACTTGAATGCAATCATCACAAAGAACTTTCTGAGAATGCTGCTGTCTGCTTTTTATATGTAATCCCGTTTCCAACGAAATCCTCAAATCTAGCCAAATATCCACTTGCAGATTCCACAAAAAGAGAGTTTCAAAACTGTTCTGTCTAAAGAAATGTTCAACTGTGTTAGTTGAGGACACACATCAGAAACTAGTTTCTGAGAATGCTTCTGTCTAGTTGTTATGGGAAGATATTTCCTTTTCCAACGTAGGCCTGAAAGCGCTCCAAATGTCCACTTCCATATACTAAAAAAAGAGTGTTTCAAACCTGCTCTACCAAAGGGAATGTTCTACTCTGTGACTTGAATGCAAACATCCCAAAGAAGTTTCTGAGAATGCTTCTGTCTAGATTTTATCTGAAGACAATCCCGTTTCCAACGAAATTCTCAAGGCTAGGCAAATATACTCTTGCAGATTCCAGAAAAAGAGTGTTTCAAAACTGCTCCTTCAAAACGGTGGTTCAATTCTCTTAGTTGAGTCCACACATCTCAAATAAGTTTCTGAGAATGCTTCTGCCTAGTTGTTACGGGAAGATATTTCCCTTTCCAACATGGGCCTGAAAGCGCTCCAAATGTCCACTTCCAGATACTACAAAAAGAGTGTTTCAAACCTGCTCTACCAAAGGGAATGTTCTACTCTGTGACTTGAATGCAAACATCCCAAAGAAGTTTCTGAGAATGCTTCTGTCTAGATTTTACCTGAAGACAATCCCGTTTCCCACGAAATCCTCAAAGCTATGCAAATATCCTCTTGCAGATTCTACAAAAAGAGTGTTTCAAAACTGCTCTATGAAAAGAAAGGTTCAACTCTGTCAGTAGAGGGCACACATCACAAACAAGTTTCTGAGAATGCTTCTGCATAGTTGTTACGGGAAGATATTTCCCTTTCCAAAATAGGCCTGAAAGCGCTCCAAATGTCCACTTCCAGATACTACAAAAGGAGTGATTCCAACCTGCTCTATGATAGGGAATGTTCAACTCTGTGTCCTGAATACAAACATCACAAAGATGTTTCTCAGAACGCTGCAGTCTGCAATTTGTATGAATTCCCGCTTCCAACGAAATCCTCAAAACTAGCCAAATATCCACTTGCAGATTCCACAAAAAGACCATTTCAAAACTGCTCTATCAAAAGAAAGGTTCAACTTTGTTAGTTGAGTAGATACAGCATAACCAAGTTTCTGAGAATGCTTCTGTCCAGTTTTTATGGGAAGATATTTCCTTTTTCACCTTAGCCCTGAAATCGCTCCAAAAGTCCAGTTCCAGATACTACAAAAGGGGTGTTTCAAGACTGCTCTATGAAAGGGAGTGTTCAACTTTTGACTTGAATGCAAACATCAGAAAGCAGTTTCTCAGAACGCTGCTGTGTGCTTTTTATATGTATTCCCGCTTCCAGCGAAATCCCCAAAGCTAGCCAAATATCCACTTGCAGATTCCAGAAAAAGAGAGTTTCAAAACTGCTCCTTCAAAACGGTGGTTCAATTCTCTTAGTTGAGTACACACATCTCAAATAAGTTTCTGAGAATGCTTCTGTCTAGTTGTTATGGGAAGATATTTCCTTTTCCAACATAGGCCTGAAAGCGCTCCAAATGTCCACTTCCAGATACTACAAAAGGAGTGATTCAAACCTGCTCTATGATAGGGAATGTTCAACTCTGTGTCCTGAATACAAACATCACAAAGATGTTTCTCAGAACGCTGCAGTCTGCAATTTGTATGAATTCCCGCTTCCAACGAAATCCTCAAAACTAGCCAAATATCCACTTGCAGATTCCACAAAAAGAGCGTTTCAAAACTTCTCTATGAAAAGAAAGGTTCTACTCCTTTAGTTGAGGACACACATCACGAGTAAGTTTCTGAGAATGCTTCTGTCTAGTTTTTATGGGAAGATATTTCCTTTTTCACCTTAGGCCGGTAAGTGCTCCAAATGTCCACTTACACACACTACAAAAAGAGTGTTTCAAACCTGCTCTGTGAAAGGGAATGTTCAATTCTGTGACTTGAATGCAATCATCACAAAGAACTTTCTGAGAATGCTGCTGACTGCTTTTTATATGTAATCCCGTTTCCAACGAAATCCTCAAATCTAGCCAAATAGCCACTTGCAGATTCCACAAAAAGAGTGTTTCAAAACTGTTCTGTCTAAAGAAATGTTCAACTGTGTTAGTTGAGGACACACATCAGAAACTAGTTTCTGAGAATGCTTCTGTCTAGTTGTTATGGGAAGATATTTCCTTTTCCAACGTAGGCCTGAAAGCGCTCCAAATGTCCACTTCCAGATACTACAAAAAGAGTGTTTCAAACCTGCTCTACCAAAGGGAATGTTCTACTCTGTGACTGGAATGCAAGCATCCCAAAGAAGTTTCTGAGAATGTTTCTGTCTAGATTTTCTCTGAAGACAATCCCGTTTCCAACGAAATCCTCAAGGCTAGGCAAATATACTCTTGCAGATTCCAGAAAAAGAGTGTTTCAAAACTGCTCCTTCAAAACGGTGGTTCAATTCTCTTAGTTGAGTACACACATCTCAAATAAGTTTCTGAGAATGCTTCTGCCTAGTTGTTACGGGAAGATATTTCCCTTTCCAACATGGGCCTGAAAGCGCTCCAAATGTCCACTTCCAGATACTACAAAAGGAGTGATTCAAACCTGCTCTACCAAAGGGAATGTTCTGCTCTGTGACTTGAATGCAAACATCCCAAAGAAGTTTCTGAGAATGCTTCTGTCTAGATTTTACCTGAAGACAATCCCGTTTCCCACGAAATCCTCAAAGCTATGCAAATATCCTCTTGCAGATTCTACAAAAAGAGTGTTTCAAAACTGCTCTATGAAAAGAAAGGTTCAACTCTGTCAGTAGAGGGCACACATCACAAACAAGTTTCTGAGAATGCTTGTGTCTAGTTGTTATGGGAAGATATTTCCTTTTTCAACATAGGCCTGAAAGCGCTCCAAATGTCCACTTCCAGATACTACAAAAGGAGTGATTCCAACCTGCTCTATGATAGGGAATGTTCAACTCTCTGTCCTGAATACAAACATCACAAAGATGTTTCTCAGAACGCTGCAGTCTGCAATTTGTATGAATTCCCGCTTCCAGCGAAATCCTCAAAACTAGCCAAATATCCACTTGCAGATTCCACAAAAAGAGCATTTCAAAACTGCTCTATCAAAAGAAAGGTTCAACTTTGTTAGTTGAGTAGATACAGCATAAACAAGTTTCTGAGAATGCTTCTGTCCAGTTTTTATGGGAAGATATTTCCTTTTTCACCTTAGCCCTGAAAGCGCTCCAAAAGTCCAGTTCCAGATACTACAAAAGGAGTGTTTCAGGACTGCACTATGAAAGGGAGTGTTCAACTTTTGACTTGAATGCAAACATCAGAAAGCAGTTTCTCAGAACGCTGCTGTGTGCTTTTTATATGTATTCCCGCTTCCAGCGAAATCCCCAAAGCTAGCCAAATATCCACTTGCAGATTCCAGAAAAAGAGTGTTTCAAAACTGCTCCTTCAAAACGGTGGTTCAATTCTCTTAGTTGAGTACACACATCTCAAATAAGTTTCTGAGAATGCTTCTGTCTAGTTGTTATGGGAAGATATTTCCTTTTCCAACATAGGCCTGAAAGCGCTCCAAATGTCCACTTCCAGATACTACAAAAGGAGTGATTCAAACCTGCTCTATGATAGGGAATGTTCAACTACTGTGTCCTGAATACAAACATCACAAAGATGTTTCTCAGAACGCTGGCAGTCTGCAATTTGTATGAATTCCCGCTTCCAACGAAATCCTCAAAACTAGCCAAATATCCACTTGCAGATTCCACAAAAAGAGCGTTTCAAAACTTCTCTATGAAAAGAAAGGTTCTACTCCTTTAGTTGAGGACACACATCACGAGTAAGTTTCTGAGAATGCTTCTGTCTAGTTTTTATGGGAAGATATTTCCTTTTTCACCTTAGGCCGGTAAGTGCTCCAAATGTCCACTTACACACACTACAAAAAGAGTGTTTCAAACCTGCTCTGTGAAAGGGAATGTTCAATTCTGTGACTTGAATGCAATCATCACAAAGAACTTTCTGAGAATGCCGCTGACTGCTTTTTATATGTAATCCCGTTTCCAACGAAATCCTCAAATCTAGCCAAATAGCCACTTGCAGATTCCACAAAAAGAGTGTTTCAAAACTGTTCTGTCTAAAGAAATGTTCAACTGTGTTAGTTGAGGACACACATCAGAAACTAGTTTCTGAGAATGCTTCTGTCTAGTTGTAATGGGAAGATATTTCCTTTTCCAACGTAGGCCTGAAAGCGCTCAAATTGTCCACTTCCATATACTAAAAAAAGAGTGTTTCAAACCTGCTCTACCAAAGGGAATGTTCTACTCTCTGACTTGAATGCAAACATCCCAAAGAAGTTTCTGAGAATGCTTCTGTCTAGATTTTCTCTGAAGACAATCCCGTTTCCAACGAAATCCTCAAGGCTAGGAAAATATACTCTTGCAGATTCCAGAAAAAGAGTGTTTCAAAACTGCTCCTTCAAAAGGGTGGTTCAATTCTCTTAGTTGAGTACACACATCTCAAATAAGTTTCTGAGAATGCTTCTGCCTAGTTGTTACGGGAAGATATTTCCCTTTCCAACATGGGCCTGAAAGCGCTCCAAATGTCCACTTCCAGATACTACAAAAAGAGTGTTTCAAACCTGCTCTACCAAAGGGAATGTTCTACTCTGTGACTTGAATGCAAACATCCCAAAGAAGTTTCTGAGAATGCTTCTGTCTAGATTTTACCTGAAGACAATCCCGTTTCCCACGAAATCCTCAAAGCTATGCAAATATCCTCTTGCAGATTCTACAAAAAGAGTGTTTCAAAACTGCTCTATGAAAAGAAAGGTTCAACTCTGTCAGTAGAGGGCACACATCACAAACAAGTTTCTGAGAATGCTTCTGCATAGTTGTTACGGGAAGATATTTCCCTTTCCAAAATAGGCCTGAAAGCGCTCCAAATGTCCACTTCCAGATACTACAAAAGGAGTGATTCCAACCTGCTCTATGATAGGGAATGTTCAACTCTGTGTCCTGAATACAAACATCACAAAGATGTTTCTCAGAACGCTGCAGTCTGCAATTTGTATGAATTCCCGCTTCCAACGAAATCCTCAAAACTAGCCAAATATCCACTTGCAGATTCCACAAAAAGACCATTTCAAAACTGCTCTATCAAAAGAAAGGTTCAACTTTGTTAGTTGAGTAGATACAGCATAAACAAGTTTCTGAGAATGCTTCTGTCCAGTTTTTATGGGAAGATATTTCCTTTTTCACCTTAGCCCTGAAATCGCTCCAAAAGTCCAGTTCCAGATACTACCAAAGGGGTGTTTCAGGACTGCTCTATGAAAGGGAGTGTTCAACTTTTGACTTGAATGCAAACATCAGAAAGCAGTTTCTCAGAACGCTGCTGTGTGCTTTTTATATGTATTCCCGCTTCCAGCGAAATCCCCAAAGCTAGCCAAATATCCACTTGCAGATTCCAGAAAAAGAGAGTTTCAAAACTGCTCCTTCAAAACGGTGGTTCAATTCTCTTAGTTGAGTACACACATCTCAAATAAGTTTCTGAGAATGCTTCTGTCCAGTTTTTATGGGAAGATATTTCCTTTTTCACCTTAGCCCTGAAAGCGCTCCAAAAGTCCAGTTCCAGATACTACAAAAGGAGTGTTTCAGGACTGCTCTATGAAAGGGAGTGTGCAACTTTTGACTTGAATGCAAACATCAGAAAGCAGTTTCTCAGAACGCTGCAGTCTGCAATTTGTATGAATTCCCGCTTCCAACGAAATCCTCAAAACTAGCCAAATATCCACTTGCAGATTCCACAAAAAGAGCGTTTCAAAACTTCTCTATGAAAAGAAAGGTTCTACTCCTTTAGTTGAGGACACACATCACGAGTAAGTTTCTGAGAATGCTTCTGTCTAGTTTTTATGGGAAGATATTTCCTTTTTCACCTTAGGCCGGTAAGTGCTCCAAATGTCCACTTACACACACTACAAAAAGAGTGTTTCAAACCTGCTCTGTGAAAGGGAATGTTCAATTCTGTGACTTGAATGCAATCATCACAAAGAACTTTCTGAGAATGCTGCTGACTGCTTTTTATATGTAATCCCGTTTCCAACGAAATCCTCAAATCTAACCAAATAGCCACTTGCAGATTCCACAAAAAGAGTGTTTCAAAACTGTTCTGTCTAAAGAAATGTTCAACTGTGTTAGTTGAGGACACACATCAGAAACTAGTTTCTGAGAATGCTTCTGTCTAGTTGTTATGGGAAGATATTTCCTTTTCCAACGTAGGCCTGAAAGCGCTCCAAATGTCCACTTCCAGATACTACAAAAAGAGTGTTTCAAACCTGCTCTACCAAAGGGAATGTTCTACTCTGTGACTTGAATGCAAACATCCCAAAGAAGTTTCTGAGAATGCTTCTGTCTAGATTTTCTCTGAAGACAATCCCGTTTCCAACGAAATCCTCAAGGCTAGGCAAATATACTCTTGCAGATTCCAGAAAAAGAGTGTTTCAAAACTGCTCCTTCAAAACGGTGGTTCAATTCTCTTAGTTGAGTACACACATCTCAAATAAGTTTCTGAGAATGCTTCTGCCTAGTTGTTACGGGAAGATATTTCCCTTTCCAACATAGGCCTGAAAGCGCTCCAAATGTCCACTTCCAGATACTACAAAAAGAGTGTTTCAAACCTGCTCTACCAAAGGGAATGTTCTACTCTGTGACTTGAATGCAAACATCCCAAAGAAGTTTCTGAGAATGCTTCTGTCTAGATTTTACCTGAAGACAATCCCGTTTCCCACGAAATCCTCAAAGCTATGCAAATATCCTCTTGCAGATTCTACAAAAAGAGTGTTTCAAAACTGCTCTATGAAAAGAAAGGTTCAACTCTGTCAGTAGAGGGCACACATCACAAACAAGTTTCTGAGAATGCTTCTGCATAGCTGTTACGGGAAGATATTTCCCTTTCCAACATAGGCCTGAAAGCGCTCCAAATGTCCACTTCCAGATACTACAAAAGGAGTGATTCCAACCTGCTCTATGATAGGGAATGTTCAACTCTGTGTCCTGAATACAAACATCACAAAGATGTTTCTCAGAACGCTGCAGTCTGCAATTTGTATGAATTCCCGCTTCCAACGAAATCCTCAAAACTAGCCAAATATCCACTTGCAGATTCCACAAAAAGACCATTTCAAAACTGCTCTATCAAAAGAAAGGTTCAACTTTGTTAGTTGAGTAGATACAGCATAAACAAGTTTCTGAGAATGCTTCTGTCCAGTTTTTATGGGAAGATATTTCCTTTTTCACCTTAGCCCTGAAATCGCTCCAAAAGTCCAGTTCCAGATACTACAAAAGGGGTGTTTCAAGACTGCTCTATGAAAGGGAGTGTTCAACTTTTGACTTGAATGCAAACATCAGAAAGCAGTTTACTCAGAACGCTGCTGTGTGCTTTTTATATGTATTCCCGCTTCCAGCGAAATCCCCAAAGCTAGCCAAATATCCACTTGCAGATTCCAGAAAAAGAGTGTTTCAAAACTGCTCCTTCAAAACGGTGGTTCAATTCTCTTAGTTGAGTACACACATCTCAAATAAGTTTCTGAGAATGCTTCTGTCTAGTTGTTATGGGAAGATATTTCCTTTTTCAACATAGGCCTGAAAGCGCTCCAAATGTCCACTTCCAGATACTACAAAAGGAGTGATTCCAACCTGCTCTATGATAGGGAATGTTCAACTCTGTGTCCTGAATACAAACATCACAAAGATGTTTCTCAGTACGCTGCAGTCTGCAATTTGTATGAATTCCAGCTTCCAACGAAATCCTCAAATCTAGCCAAATATCCACTTGCAGATTCCACAAAAAGAGCATTTCAAAACTGCTCTATCAAAAGAAAGGTTCAACTTTGTTAGTAGAGTAGATACAGCATAAACAAGTTTCTGAGAATGCTTCTGTCCAGTTTTTATGGGAAGATATTTCCTTTTTCACCTTAGCCCTGAAAGCGCTCCAAAAGTCCAGTTCCAGATACTACAAAAGGAGTGTTTCAGGACTGCTCTATGAAAGGGAGTGTTCAACTTTTGACTTGAATGCAAACATCAGAAAGCAGTTTCTCAGAACGCTGCTGTGTGCTTTTTAGATGTATTCCCGCTTCCAGCGAAATCCCAAAAGCTAGCCAAATATCCACTTGCAGATTCCAGAAAAAGAGTGTTTCAAAACTGCTCCTTCAAAACGGTGGTTCAATTCTCTTAGTTGAGTACACACATCTCAAATAAGTTTCTGAGAATGCTTCTGTCTAGTTGTTATGGGAAGATATTTCCTTTTCCAACATAGGCCTGAAAGCGTTCCAAATGTCCACTTCCAGATACTACAAAAGGAGTGATTCCAACCTGCTCTATGATAGGGAATGTTCAACTCTGTGTCCTGAATACAAACATCACAAAGATGTTTCTCAGAACGCTGCAGTCTGCAATTTGTATGAATTCCCGCTTCCAACGAAATCCTCAAAACTAGCCAAATATCCACTTGCAGATTACACAAAAAGAGCGTTTCAAAACTTCTCTATGAAAAGAAAGGTTCTACTCCTTTAGTTGAGGACACACATCACGAGTAAGTTTCTGAGAATGCTTCTGTCTAGTTTTTATGGGAAGATATTTCCTTGTTCACCTTAGGCCGGAAAGTGCTCCAAATGTCCACTTACACACACTACAAAAAGAGTGTTTCAAACCTGCTCTGTGAAAGGGAATGTTCAATTCTGTGACTTGAATGCAATCATCACAAAGAACTTTCTGAGAATGCTGCTGTCTGCTTTTTATATGTAATCCCGTTTCCTACGAAATCCTCAAATCTAGCCAAATAGCCACTTGCAGATTCCACAAAAAGAGTGTTTCAAAACTGTTCTGTCTAAAGAAATGTTCAACTGTGTTAGTTGAGGACACACATCAGAAACTAGTATCTGAGAATGCTTCTGTTTAGTTGTTATGGGAAGATATTTCCTTTTCCAACGTAGGCCTGAAAGCGCTCCAAATGTCCACTTCCATATACTAAAAAAAGAGTGTTTCAAATCTGCTCTACCAAAGGGAATGTTCTACTCTGTGACTTGAATGCAAACATCCCAAAGAAGTTTCTGAGAATGCTTCTGTCTAGATTTTATCTGAAGACAATCCCGTTTCCAACGAAATCCTCAAGGCTAGGCAAATATACTCTTGCAGATTCCAGAAAAAGAGTGTTTCAAAACTGCGCCTTCAAAACGGTGGTTCAATTCTCTTAGTTGAGTACACACATCTCAAATAAGTTTCTGAGAATGCTTCTGCCTAGTTGTTACGGGAAGATATTTCCCTTTCCAACATGGGCCTGAAAGCGCTCCAAATGTCCACTTCCACATACTACAAAAGGAGGGTTTCAAACCTGCTCTAACAAAGGGAGTGTTCTACTCTGTGACTTGAATGCAAACATCCCAAAGAAGTTTCTGAGAATGCTTCTATCTAGATTTTACCTGAAGGCAATCCCGTTTCCCACGAAATCCTCAAAGCTATGCAAATATCCTCTTGCAGATTCTACAAAAAGAGTGTTTCAAAACTGCTCTATGAAAAGAAAGGTTCAACTCTGTCAGTAGAGGGCACACATCACAAACAAGTTTCTGAGAATGCTTGTGTCTAGTTGTTATGGGAAGATATTTCCTTTTTCAACATAGGCCTGAAAGCGCTCCAAATGTCCACTTCCAGATACTACAAAAGGAGTGATTCCAACCTGCTCTATGATAGGGAATGTTCATCTCTGTGTCCTGAATACAAACATCACAAAGATGTTTCTCAGAACGCTGCAGTCTGCAATTTGTATGAATTCCCGCTTCCAACGAAATCCTCAAAACTAGCCAAATATCTACTTGGAGATTCCACAAAAAGAGCGTTTCAAAACTTCTCTATGAATAGAAAGGTTCTACTCCTTTAGTTGAGGACACACATCACGAGTAAGTTTCTGAGAATGCTTCTGTCTAGTTTTTATGGGAAGATATTTCCTTTTTCACCTTAGGCCGGAAAGCGCTCCAAATGTCCACTTACACACACTACAAAAAGAGTGTTTCAAACCTGCTCTGTGAAAGGGAATGTTCAATTCTGTGACTTGAATGCAATCATCACAAAGAACTTTCTGAGAATGCTGCTGACTGCTTTTTATATGTAATCCCGTTTCCAACGAAATCCTCAAATCTAGCCCAATATCCACTTGCAGATTCCACAAAAAGAGTGTTTCAAAACTGTTCTGTCTAAAGAAATGTACAACTGTGTTAGTTGAGGACACACATCAGAAACTAGTTTCTGAGAATGCTTCTGTCTAGTTGTTATGGGAAGATATTTCCTTTTCCAACGTAGGCCTGAAAGCGCTCCAAATGTCCACTTCCATATACTAAAAAAAGAGTGTTTCAAACCTGCTCTACCAAAGGGAATGTTCTACTCTGTGACTTGAATGCAAACATCCCAAAGAAGTTTCTGAGAATGCTTCTGTCTAGATTTTATCTGAAGACAATCCCGTTTCCAACGAAATCCTCAAGGCTAGGCAAATATACTCTTGCAGATTCCAGAAAAAGAGTGTTTCAAAACTGCTCCTTCAAAACGGTGGTTCAATTCTCTTAGTTGAGTCCACACATCTCAAATAAGTTTCTGAGAATGCTTCTGCCTAGTTGTTACGGGAAGATATTTCCCTTTCCAACATAGGCCTGAAAGCGCTCCAAATGTCCACTTCCAGATACTACAAAAAGAGTGTTTCAAACCTGCTCTACCAAAGGGAATGTTCTACTCTGTGATTTGAATGCAAACATCCCAAAGAAGTTTCTGAGAATGCTTCTGTCTAGATTTTACCTGAAGACAATCCCGTTTCCCACGAAATCCTCAAAGCTATGCAAATATCCTCTTGCAGATTCTACAAAAAGAGTGTTTCAAAACTGCTCTATGAAAAGAAAGGTTCAACTGTGTCAGTAGAGGGCACACATCACAAACAAGTTTCTGAGAATGCTTGTGTCTAGTTGTTATGGGAAGATATTTCCTTTTTCAACATAGGCCTGAAAGCGCTCCAAATGTCCACTTCCAGATACTACAAAAGGAGTGATTCCAACCTGCTCTATGATAGGGAATGTTCAACTCTCTGTCCTGAATACAAACATCACAAAGATGTTTCTCAGAACGCTGCAGTCTGCAATTTGTATGAATTCCCGCTTCCAACGAAATCCTCAAAACTAGCCAAATATCCACTTGCAGATTCCACAAAAAGAGCATTTCAAAACTGCTCTATCAAAAGAAAGGTTCAACTTTGTTAGTTGAGTAGATACAGCATAAACAAGTTTCTGAGAATGCTTCTGTCCAGTTTTTATGGGAAGATATTTCCTTTTTCACCTTAGCCCTGAAAGCGCTCCAAATGTCCAGTTCCCGATACTACAAAAGGGGTGTTTCAAGACTGCTCTATGAAAGGGAGTGTTCAACTTTTGACTTGAATGCAAACATCAGAAAGCAGTTTCTCAGAACGCTGCTGTGTGCTTTTTATATGTATTCCCGCTTCCAGCGAAATCCCCAAAGCTAGCCAAATATCCACTTGCAGATTCCAGAAAAAGAGTGTTTCAAAACTGCTCCTTCAAAACGGTGGTTCAATTCTCTTAGTTGAGTACACACATCTCAAATAAGTTTCTGAGAATGCTTCTGTCTAGTTGTTATGGGAAGATATTTCCTTTTCCAACATAGGCCTGAAAGCGCTCCAAATGTCCACTTCCAGATACTACAAAAGGAGTGATTCCAACCTGCTCTATGATAGGGAATGTTCAACTCTGTGTCCTGAATACAAACATCACAAAGATGTTTCTCAGAACGCTGCAGTCTGCAATTTGTATGAATTCCCGCTTCCAACGAAATCCTCAAAACTAGCCAAATATCCACTTGCAGATTCCACAAAAAGAGCGTTTCAAAACTTCTCTATGAAAAGAAAGGTTCTACTCCTTTAGTTGAGGACACACATCACGAGTAAGTTTCTGAGAATGCTTCTGTCTAGTTTTTATGGGAAGATATTTCCTTTTTCACCTTAGGCCGGTAAGTGCTCCAAATGTCCACTTACACACACTACAAAAAGAGTGTTTCAAACCTGCTCTGTGAAAGGGAATGTTCAATTCTGTGACTTGAATGCAATCATCACAAAGAACTTTCTGAGAATGCCGCTGACTGCTTTTTATATGTAATCCCGTTTCCAACGAAATCCTCAAATCTAGCCAAATAGCCACTTGCAGATTCCACAAAAAGAGTGTTTCAAAACTGTTCTGTCTAAAGAAATGTTCAACTGTGTTAGTTGAGGACACACATCAGAAACTAGTTTCTGAGAATGCTTCTGTCTAGTTGTTATGGGAAGATATTTCCTTTTCCAACGTAGGCCTGAAAGCGCTCCAAATGTCCACTTCCAGATACTACAAAAAGAGTGTTTCAAACCTGCTCTACCAAAGGGAATGTTCTACTCTGTGACTTGAATGCAAGCATCCCAAAGAAGTTTCTGAGAATGCTTCTGTCTAGATTTTCTCTGAAGACAATCCCGTTTCCAACGAAATCCTCAAGGCTAGGCAAATATACTCTTGCAGATTCCAGAAAAAGAGTGTTTCAAAACTGCTCCTTCAAAACGGTGGTTCAATTCTCTTAGTTGAGTACACACATCTCAAATAAGTTTCTGAGAATGCTTCTGCCTAGTTGTTACGGGAAGATATTTCCCTTTCCAACATGGGCCTGAAAGCGCTCCAAATGTCCACTTCCAGATACTACAAAAAGAGTGTTTCAAACCTGCTCTACCAAAGGGAATGTTCTACTCTGTGACTTGAATGCAAACATCCCAAAGAAGTTTCTGAGAATGCTTCTGTCTAGATTTTACCTGAAGACAATCCCGTTTCCCACGAAATCCTCAAAGCTATGCAAATATCCTCTTGCAGATTCTACAAAAAGAGTGTTTCAAAACTGCTCTATGAAAAGAAAGGTTCAACTCTGTCAGTAGAGGGCACACATCACAAACAAGTTTCTGAGAATGCTTCTGCATAGTTGTTACGGGAAGATATTTCCCTTTCCAAAATAGGCCTGAAAGCGCTCCAAATGTCCACTTCCAGATACTACAAAAGGAGTGATTCCAACCTGCTCTATGATAGGGAATGTTCAACTCTGTGTCCTGAATACAAACATCACAAAGATGTTTCTCAGAACGCTGCAGTCTGCAATTTGTATGAATTCCCGCTTCCAACGAAATCCTCAAAACTAGCCAAATATCCACTTGCAGATTCCACAAAAAGACCATTTCAAAACTGCTCTATCAAAAGAAAGGTTCAACTTTGTTAGTTGAGTAGATACAGCATAAACAAGTTTCTCAGAATGCTTCTGTCCAGTTTTTATGGGAAGATATTTCCTTTTTCACCTTAGCCCTGAAATCGCTCCAAAAGTCCAGTTCCAGATACTACAAAAGGGGTGTTTCAGGACTGCTCTATGAAAGGGAGTGTTCAACTTTTGACTTGAATGCAAACATCAGAAAGCAGTTTCTCAGAACGCTGCTGTGTGCTTTTTATATGTATTCCCGCTTCCAGCGAAATCCCCAAAGCTAGCCAAATATGCACTTGCAGATTCCAGAAAAAGAGTGTTTCAAAACTGCTCCTTCAAAACGGTGGTTCAATTCTCTTAGTTGAGTACACACATCTGAAATAAGTTTCTGAGAATGCTTGTGTCTAGTTGTTATGGGAAGATATTTCCTTTTTCAACATAGGCCTGAAAGCGCTCCAAATGTCCACTTCCAGATACTATAAAAGGAGTGATTCCAACCTGCTCTATGATAGGGAATGTTCAACTCTCTGTCCTGAATACAAACATCACAAAGATGTTTCTCAGAACGCTGCAGTCTGCAATTTGTATGAATTCCCGCTTCCAGCGAAATCCTCAAAACTAGCCAAATATCCACTTGCAGATTCCACAAAAAGAGCATTTCAAAACTGCTCTATCAAAAGAAAGGTTCAACTTTGTTAGTTGAGTAGATACAGCATAAACAAGTTTCTGAGAATGCTTCTGTCCAGTTTTTATGGGAAGATATTTCCTTTTTCACCTTAGCCCTGAAAGCGCTCCAAAAGTCCAGTTCCAGATACTACAAAAGGAGTGTTTCAGGACTGCTCTATGAAAGGGAGTGTTCAACTTTTGACTTGAATGCAAACATCAGAAAGCAGTTTCTCAGAACGCTGCTGTGTGCTTTTTATATGTATTCCCGCCTCCAGCGAAATCCCCAAAGCTAGCCAAATATCCACTTGCAGATTCCAGAAAAAGAGTGTTTCAAAACTGCTCCTTCAAAACGGTGGTTCAATTCTCTTAGTTGAGTACACACATCTCAAATAAGTTTCTGAGAATGCTTCTGTCTAGTTGTTATGGGAAGATATTTCCTTTTCCAACATAGGCCTGAAAGCACTCCAAATGTCCACTTCCAGATACTACAAAAGGAGTGATTCCAACCTGCTCTATGATAGGGAATGTTCAACTCTGTGTCCTGAATACAAACATCACAAAGATGTTTCTCAGAACGCTGCAGTCTGCAATTTGTATGAATTCCCGCTTCCAACGAAATCCTCCAAACTAGCCAAATATCCACTTGCAGATTCCACAAAAAGAGCGTTTCAAAACTTCTCTATGAAAAGAAAGGTTCTACTCCTTTAGTTGAGGACACACATCACGAGTAAGTTTCTGAGAATGCTTCTGTCTAGTTTTTATGGGAAGATATTTCCTTTTTCACCTTAGGCCGGAAAGCGCTCCAAATGTCCACTTACACACACTACAAAAAGAGTGTTTCAAACCTCCTCTGTGAAAAGGAATGTTCAATTCTGTGATTTGAATGCAATCATCACAAAGAACTTTCTGAGAATGCTGCTGTCTGCTTTTTATATGTAATCCCGTTTCCAACGAAATCCTCAAATCTAGCCAAATAGCCACTTGCAGATTCCACAAAAAGAGTGTTTCAAAACTGTTCTGTCTAAAGAAATGTTCAACTGTGTTAGTTGAGGACACACATCAGAAACTAGTTTCTGAGAATGCTTCTGTCTAGTTGTTATGGGAAGATATTTCCTTTTCCAACGTAGGCCGGAAAGCGCTCCAAATGTCCACTTCCATATACTAAAAAAAGAGTGTTTCAAACCTGCTCTACCAAAGGGAATGTTCTACTCTGTGACTTGAATGCAAACATCCCAAAGAAGTTTCTGAGAATGCTTCTGTCTAGATTTGATCTGAAGACAATCCCGTTTCCAACGAAATCCTCAAGGCTAGGCAAATATCCTCTTGCAGATTCCAGAAAAAGAGTGTTTCAAAACTGCTCCTTCAAAACGGTGGTTCAATTCTCTTAGTTGAGTACACACATCTCAAATAAGTTTCTGAGAATGCTTCTGCCTAGTTGTTACGGGAAGATATTTCCCTTTCCAACATGGGCCTGAAAGCGCTCCAAATGTCCACTTCCAGATACTACAAAAAGAGTGTTTCAAACCTGCTCTACCAAAGGGAATGTTCTACTCTGTGACTTGAATGCAAACATCCCAAAGAAGTTTCTGAGAATGCTTCTGTCTAGATTTTACCTGAAGACAATCCCGTTTCCCACGAAATCCTCAAAGCTATGCTAATATCCTCTTGCAGATTCTACAAAAAGAGTGTTTCAAAACTGCTCTATGAAAAGAAAGGTTCAACTCTGTCAGTAGAGGGCACACATCACAAACAAGTTTCTGAGAATGCTTGTGTCTAGTTGTTATGGGAAGATATTTCCTTTTTCAACATAGGCCTGAAAGCGCTCCAAATGTCCACTTCCAGATACTACAAAAGGAGTGATTCCAACCTGCTCTATGATAGGGAATGTTCAACTCTCTGTCCTGAATACAAACATCACAAAGATGTTTCTCAGAACGCTGCAGTCTGCAATTTGTATGAATTCCCGCTTCCAACGAAATCCTCAAAACTAGCCAAATATCCACTTGCAGATTCCACAAAAAGAGCATTTCAAAACTGCTCTATCAAAAGAAAGGTTCAACTTTGTTAGTTGAGTAGATACAGCATAAACAAGTTTCTGAGAATGCTTCTGTCCAGTTTTTATGGGAAGATATTTCCTTTTTCACCTTAGCCCTGAAAGCGCTCCAAAAGTCCAGTTCCAGATACTACAAAAGGGGTGTTTCAGGACTGCTCTATGAAAGGGAGTGTTCAACTTTTGACTTGAATGCAAACATCAGAAAGCAGTTTCTCAGAACGCTGCTGTGTGCTTTTTATATGTATTCCCGCTTCCAGCGAAATCCCCAAAGCTAGCCAAATATCCACTTGCAGATTCCAGAAAAAGAGTGTTTCAAAACTGCTCCTTCAAAACGGTGGTTCAATTCTCTTAGTTGAGTACACACATCTCAAATAAGTTTCTGAGAATGCTTCTGTCTAGTTGTTATGGGAAGATATTTCCTTTTCCAACATAGGCCTGAAAGCGCTCCAAATGTCCACTTCCAGATACTACAAAAGGAGTGATTCCAACCTGCTCTATGATAGGGAATGTTCAACTCTGTGTCCTGAATACAAACATCACAAAGATGTTTCTCAGAACGCTGCAGTCTGCAATTTGTATGAATTCCCGCTTCCAAAGAAATCCTCAAAACTAGCCAAATATCCACTTGCAGATTCCACAAAAAGACCATTTCAAAACTGCTCTATCAAAAGAAAGGTTCAACTTTGTTAGTTGAGTAGATACAGCATAACCAAGTTTCTGAGAATGCTTCTGTCCAGTTTTTATGGGAAGATATTTCCTTTTTCACCTTAGCCCTCAAATCGCTCCAAAAGAACAGTTCCAGATACTACAAAAGGGGTGTTTCAAGACTGCTCTATGAAAGGGAGTGTTCAACTTTTGACTTGAATGCAAACATCAGAAAGCAGTTTCTCAGAACGCTGCTGTGTGCTTTTTATATGTATTCCCGCTTCCAGCGAAATCCCCAAAGCTAGCCAAATATCCACTTGCAGATTCCAGAAAAAGAGAGTTTCAAAACTGCTCCTTCAAAACGGTGGTTCAATTCTCTTAGTTGAGTACACACATCTCAAATAAGTTTCTGAGAATGCTTCTGTCTAGTTGTTATGGGAAGATATTTCCTTTTCCAACATAGGCCTGAAAGCGCTCCAAATGTCCACTTCCAGATACTACAAAAGGAGTGATTCCAACCTGCTCTATGATAGGGAATGTTCAACTCTGTGTCCTGAATACAAACATCACAAAGATGTTTCTCAGAACGCTGCAGTCTGCAATTTGTATGAATTCCCGCTTCCAACGAAATCCTCAAAACTAGCCAAATATCCACTTGCAGATTCCACAAAAAGAGCGTTTCAAAACTTCTCTATGAAAAGAAAGGTTCTACTCCTTTAGTTGAGGACACACATCACGAGTAAGTTTCTGAGAATGCTTCTGTCTAGTTTTTATGGGAAGATATTTTCTTTTTCACCTTAGGCCGGTAAGTGCTCCAAATGTCCACTTACACACACTACAAAAAGAGTGTT
The DNA here is from genome assembly GCF_000001405.40 of Homo sapiens. Classification (NCBI taxonomy): domain Eukaryota; kingdom Metazoa; phylum Chordata; class Mammalia; order Primates; family Hominidae; genus Homo; species Homo sapiens. Next base: position 16,271,530 of record NC_000018.10, on the reverse strand, counting down.
TCAAACCTGCTCTGTGAAAGGGAATGTTCAATTCTGTGACTTGAATGCAATCATCACAAAGAACTTTCTGAGAATGCTGCTGACTGCTTTTTATATGTAATCCCGTTTCCAACGAAATCCTCAAATCTAGCCAAATAGCCACTTGCAGATTCCACAAAAAGAGTGTTTCAAAACTGTTCTGTCTAAAGAAATGTTCAACTGTGTTAGTTGAGGACACACATCAGAAACTAGTTTCTGAGAATGCTTCTGTCTAGTTGTTATGGGAAGATATTTCCTTTTCCAACGTAGGCCTGAAAGCGCTCCAAATGTCCACTTCCAGATACTACAAAAAGAGTGTTTCAAACCTGCTCTACCAAAGGGAATGTTCTACTCTGTGACTTGAATGCAAACATCCCAAAGAAGTTTCTGAGAATGCTTCTGTCTAGATTTTCTCTGAAGACAATCCCGTTTCCAACGAAATCCTCAAGGCTAGGCAAATATACTCTTGCAGATTCCAGAAAAAGAGTGTTTCAAAACTGCTCCTTCAAAACGGTGGTTCAATTCTCTTAGTTGAGTACACACATCTCAAATAAGTTTCTGAGAATGCTTCTGTCTAGTTGTTATGGGAAGATATTTCCTTTTCCAACATAGGCCTGAAAGCGCTCCAAATGTCCACTTCCAGATACTACAAAAGGAGTGATTCCAACCTGCTCTATGATAGGGAATGTTCAACTCTGTGTCCTGAATACAAACATCACAAAGATGTTTCTCAGAACGCTGCAGTCTGCAATTTGTATGAATTCCCGCTTCCAACGAAATCCTCAAAACTAGCCAAATATCCACTTGCAGATTCCACAAAAAGAGCGTTTCAAAACTTCTCTATGAAAAGAAAGGTTCTACTCCTTTAGTTGAGGACACACATCACGAGTAAGTTTCTGAGAATGCTTCTGTCTAGTTTTTATGGGAAGATTATTTCCTTTTTCACCTTAGGCCGGTAAGTGCTCCAAATGTCCACTTACACACACTACAAAAAGAGTGTTTCAAACCTGCTCTGTGAAAGGGAATGTTCAATTCTGTGACTTGAATGCAATCATCACAAAGAACTTTCTGAGAATGCCGCTGACTGCTTTTTATATGTAATCCCGTTTCCAACGAAATCCTCAAATCTAGCCAAATAGCCACTTGCAGATTCCACAAAAAGAGTGTTTCAAAACTGTTCTGTCTAAAGAAATGTTCAACTGTGTTAGTTGAGGACACACATCAGAAACTAGTTTCTGAGAATGCTTCTGTCTAGTTGTTATGGGAAGATATTTCCTTTTCCAACGTAGGCCTGAAAGCGCTCCAAATGTCCACTTCCAGATACTACAAAAAGAGTGTTTCAAACCTGCTCTACCAAAGGGAATGTTCTACTCTGTGACTTGAATGCAAGCATCCCAAAGAAGTTTCTGAGAATGCTTCTGTCTAGATTTTCTCTGAAGACAATCCCGTTTCCAACGAAATCCTCAAGGCTAGGCAAATATACTCTTGCAGATTCCAGAAAAAGAGTGTTTCAAAACTGCTCCTTCAAAACGGTGGTTCAATTCTCTTAGTTGAGTACACACATCTCAAATAAGTTTCTGAGAATGCTTCTGCCTAGTTGTTACGGGAAGATATTTCCCTTTCCAACATGGGCCTGAAAGCGCTCCAAATGTCCACTTCCAGATACTACAAAAAGAGTGTTTCAAACCTGCTCTACCAAAGGGAATGTTCTACTCTGTGACTTGAATGCAAACATCCCAAAGAAGTTTCTGAGAATGCTTCTGTCTAGATTTTACCTGAAGACAATCCCGTTTCCCACGAAATCCTCAAAGCTATGCAAATATCCTCTTGCAGATTCTACAAAAAGAGTGTTTCAAAACTGCTCTATGAAAAGAAAGGTTCAACTCTGTCAGTAGAGGGCACACATCACAAACAAGTTTCTGAGAATGCTTCTGCATAGTTGTTACGGGAAGATATTTCCCTTTCCAAAATAGGCCTGAAAGCGCTCCAAATGTCCACTTCCAGATACTACAAAAGGAGTGATTCCAACCTGCTCTATGATAGGGAATGTTCAACTCTGTGTCCTGAATACAAACATCACAAAGATGTTTCTCAGAACGCTGCAGTCTGCAATTTGTATGAATTCCCGCTTCCAACGAAATCCTCAAAACTAGCCAAATATCCACTTGCAGATTCCACAAAAAGACCATTTCAAAACTGCTCTATCAAAAGAAAGGTTCAACTTTGTTAGTTGAGTAGATACAGCATAACCAAGTTTCTGAGAATGCTTCTGTCCAGTTTTTATGGGAAGATATTTCCTTTTTCACCTTAGCCCTGAAATCGCTCCAAAAGTCCAGTTCCAGATACTACAAAAGGGGTGTTTCAAGACTGCTCTATGAAAGGGAGTGTTCAACTTTTGACTTGAATGCAAACATCAGAAAGCAGTTTCTCAGAACGCTGCTGTGTGCTTTTTATATGTATTCCCGCTTCCAGCGAAATCCCCAAAGCTAGCCAAATATCCACTTGCAGATTCCAGAAAAAGAGTGTTTCAAAACTGCTCCTTCAAAACGGTGGTTCAATTCTCTTAGTTGAGTACACACATCTCAAATAAGTTTCTGAGAATGCTTCTGTCTAGTTGTTATGGGAAGATATTTCCTTTTCCAACATAGGCCTGAAAGCGCTCCAAATGTCCACTTCCAGATATTACAAAAGGAGTGATTCAAACCTGCTCTATGATAGGGAATGTTCAACTCTGTGTCCTGAATACAAACATCACAAAGATGATTCTCAGAACGCTGCAGTCTGCAATTTGTATGAATTCCCGCTTCCAACGAAATCCTCAAAACTAGCCAAATATCCACTTGCAGATTCCACAAAAAGAGCGTTTCAAAACTTCTCTATGAAAAGAAAGGTTCTACTCCTTTAGTTGAGGACACACATCACGAGTAAGTTTCTGAGAATGCTTCTGTCTAGTTTTTATGGGAAGATATTTCCTTTTTCACCTTAGGCCGGAAAGCGCTCCAAATGTCCACTTACACACACTACAAAAAGAGTGTTTCAAACCTGCTCTGTGAAAGGGAATGTTCAATTCTGTGACTTGAATGCAATCATCACAAAGAACTTTCTGAGAATGCTGCTGACTGCTTTTTATATGTAATCCCGTTTCCAACGAAATCCTCAAATCTAGCCAAATAGCCACTTGCAGATTCCACAAAAAGAGTGTTTCAAAACTGTTCTGTCTAAAGAAATGTTCAACTGTGTTAGTTGAGGACACACATCAGAAACTAGTTTCTGAGAATGCTTCTGTCTAGTTGTTATGGGAAGATATTTCCTTTTCCAACGTAGGCCTGAAAGCGCTCCAAATGTCCACTTCCATATACTAAAAAAAGAGTGTTTCAAACCTGCTCTACCAAAGGGAATGTTCTACTCTGTGACTTGAATGCAAACATCCCAAAGAAGTTTCCTGAGAATGCTTCTGTCTAGATTTTCTCTGAAGACAATCCCGTTTCCAACGAAATCCTCAAGGCTAGGCAAATATACTCTTGCAGATTCCAGAAAAAGAGTGTTTCAAAACTGCTCCTTCAAAACGGTGGTTCAATTCTCTTAGTTGAGTACACACATCTCAAATAAGTTTCTGAGAATGCTTCTGCCTAGTTGTTACGGGAAGATATTTCCCTTTCCAACATGGGCCTGATAGTGCTCCAAATGTCCACTTCCAGATACTACAAAAAGAGTGTTTCAAACCTGCTCTACCAAAGGGAATGTTCTACTCTGTGACTTGAATGCAAACATCCCAAAAAAGTTTCTGAGAATGCTTCTGTCTAGATTTTACCTGAAGACAATCCCGTTTCCCACGAAATCCTCAAAGCTATGCAAATATCCTCTTGCAGATTCTACAAAAAGAGTGTTTCAAAACTGCTCTATGAAAAGAAAGGTTCAACTCTGTCAGTAGAGGGCACACATCACAAACAAGTTTCTGAGAATGCTTCTGCATAGTTGTTACGGGAAGATATTTCCCTTTCCAAAATAGGCCTGAAAGCGCTCCAAATGTCCACTTCCAGATACTACAAAAGGAGTGATTCCAACCTGCTCTATGATAGGGAATGTTCAACTCTGTGTCCTGAATACAAACATCACAAAGATGTTTCTCAGAACGCTGCAGTCTGCAATTTGTATGAATTCCCGCTTCCAACGAAATCCTCAAAACTAGCCAAATATCCACTTGCAGATTCCACAAAAAGACCATTTCAAAACTGCTCTATCAAAAGAAAGGTTCAACTTTGTTAGTTGAGTAGATACAGCATAAACAAGTTTCTGAGAATGCTTCTGTCCAGTTTTTATGGGAAGATATTTCCTTTTTCACCTTAGCCCTGAAATCGCTCCAAAAGTCCAGTTCCAGATACTACAAAAGGGGTGTTTCAGGACTGCTCTATGAAAGGGAGTGTTCAACTTTTGACTTGAATGCAAACATCAGAAAGCAGTTTCTCAGAACGCTGCTGTGTGCTTTTTATATGTATTCCCGCTTCCAGCGAAATCCCCAAAGCTAGCCAAATATCCACTTGCAGATTCCAGAAAAAGAGAGTTTCAAAACTGCTCCTTCAAAACGGTGGTTCAATTCTCTTAGTTGAGTACACACATCTCAAATAAGTTTCTGAGAATGCTTCTGTCTAGTTGTTATGGGAAGATATTTCCTTTTCCAACATAGGCCTGAAAGCGCTCCAAATGTCCACTTCCAGATACTACAAAAGGAGTGATTCAAACCTGCTCTATGATAGGGAATGTTCAACTCTGTGTCCTGAATACAAACATCACAAAGATGTTTCTCAGAACGCTGCAGTCTGCAATTTGTATGAATTCCCGCTTCCAACGAAATCCTCCAAACTAGCCAAATATCCACTTGCAGCTTCCACAAAAAGAGCGTTTCAAAACTTCTCTATGAAAAGAAAGGTTCTACTCCTTTAGTTGAGGACACACATCACGAGTAAGTTTCTGAGAATGCTTCTGTCTAGTTTTTATGGGAAGATATTTCCTTTTTCACCTTAGGCCGGTAAGTGCTCCAAATGTCCACTTACACACACTACAAAAAGAGTGTTTCAAACCTGCTCTGTGAAAGGGAATGTTCAATTCTGTGACTTGAATGCAATCATCACAAAGAACTTTCTGAGAATGCTGCTGTCTGCTTTTTATATGTAATCCCGTTTCCAACGAAATCCTCAAATCTAGCCAAATAGCCACTTGCAGATTCCACAAAAAGAGTGTTTCAAAACTGTTCTGTCTAAAGAAAAGTTCAACTGTGTTAGTTGAGGACACACATCAGAAACTAGTTTCTGAGAATGCTTCTGTCTAGTTGTTATGGGAAGATATTTCCTTTTCCAACGTAGGCCTGAAAGCGCTCCAAATGTCCACTTCCATATACTAAAAAAAGAGTGTTTCAAACCTGCTCTACCAAAGGGAATGTTCTACTCTGTGACTTGAATGCAAACATCCCAAAGAGGTTTCTGAGAATGCTTCTGTCTAGATTTTCTCTGAAGACAATCCCGTTTCCAACGAAATCCTCAAGGCTAGGCAAATATACTCTTGCAGATTCCAGAAAAAGAGTGTTTCAAAACTGCTCCTTCAAAACGGTGGTTCAATTCTCTTAGTTGAGTACACACATCTCAAATAAGTTTCTGAGAATGCTTCTGCCTAGTTGTTACGGGAAGATATTTCCCTTTCCAACATGGGCCTGAAAGCGCTCCAAATGTCCACTTCCAGATACTACAAAAAGAGTGTTTCAAACCTGCTCTACCAAAGGGAATGTTCTACTCTGTGACTTGAATGCAAACATCCCAAAGAAGTTTCTGAGAATGCTTCTGTCTAGATTTTACCTGAAGACAATCCCGTTTCCCACGAAATCCTCAAAGCTATGCAAATATCCTCTTGCAGATTCTACAAAAAGAGTGTTTCAAAACTGCTCTATGAAAAGAAAGGTTCAACTCTGTCAGTAGAGGGCACACATCACAAACAAGTTTCTGAGAATGCTTCTGCATAGTTGTTACGGGAAGATATTTCCCTTTCCAAAATAGGCCTGAAAGCGCTCCAAATGTCCACTTCCAGATACTACAAAAGGAGTGATTCCAACCTGCTCTATGATAGGGAATGTTCAACTCTGTGTCCTGAATACAAACATCACAAAGATGTTTCTCAGAACGCTGCAGTCTGCAATTTGTATGAATTCCCGCTTCCAACGAAATCCTCAAAACTAGCCAAATATCCACTTGCAGATTCCACAAAAAGACCATTTCAAAACTGCTCTATCAAAAGAAAGGTTCAACTTTGTTAGTTGAGTAGATACAGCATAAACAAGTTTCTGAGAATGCTTCTGTCCAGTTTTTATGGGAAGATATTTCCTTTTTCACCTTAGCCCTGAAATCGCTCCAAAAGTCCAGTTCCAGATACTACAAAAGGGGTGTTTCAAGACTGCTCTATGAAAGGGAGTGTTCAACTTTTGACTTGAATGCAAACATCAGAAAGCAGTTTCTCAGAACGCTGCTGTGTGCTTTTTATATGTATTCCCGCTTCCAGCGAAATCCCCAAAGCTAGCCAAATATCCACTTGCAGATTCCAGAAAAAGAGTGTTTCAAAACTGCTCCTTCAAAACGGTGGTTCAATTCTCTTAGTTGAGTACACACATCTCAAATAAGTTTCTGAGAATGCTTCTGTCTAGTTGTTATGGGAAGATATTTCCTTTTCCAACATAGGCCTGAAAGCGCTCCAAATGTCCACTTCCAGATACTACAAAAGGAGTGATTCAAACCTGCTCTATGATAGGGAATGTTCAACTCTGTGTCCTGAATACAGACATCACAAAGATGTTTCTCGGAAAGCTGCAGTCTGCAATTTGTATGAATTCCCGCTTCCAACGAAATCCTAAAAACTAGCCAAATATCGACTTGCAGATTCCACAAAAAGAGCGTTTCAAAACTTCTCTATGAATAGAAAGGTTCTACTCCTTTAGTTGAGGACACACATCACGAGTAAGTTTCTGAGAATGCTTCTGTCTAGTTTTTATGGGAAGATATGTCCTTTTTCACCTTAGGCCGGAAAGCGCTCCAAATGTCCACTTACACACACTACAAAAAGAGTGTTTCAAACCTGCTCTGTGAAAGGGAATGTTCAATTCTGTGACTTGAATGCAATCATCACAAAGAACTTTCTGAGAATGCTGCTGACTGCTTTTTATACGTAATCCCGTTTCCAACGAAATCCTCAAATCTGGCCAAATATGCACTTGCAGATTCCACAAAAAGACTGTTTCAAAACTGTTCTGTCTAAAGAAATGTACAACTGTGTTAGTTGAGGACACACATCAGAAACTAGTTTCTGAGAATGCTTCTGTCTAGTTGTTATGGGAAGATATTTCCTTTTCCAACGTAGGCCTGAAAGCGCTCCAAATGTCCACTTCCATATACTAAAAAAAGAGTGTTTCAAACCTGCTCTACCAAAGGGAATGTTCTACTCTGTGACTTGAATGCAAACATCCCAAAGAAGTTTCTGAGAATGCTTCTGTCTAGATTTTATCTGAAGACAATCCCGTTTCCAACGAAATCCTCAAGGCTAGGCAAATATCCTCTTGCAGATTCCAGAAAAAGAGTGTTTCAAAACTGCTCCTTCAAAACGGTGGTTCAATTCTCTTAGTTGAGTACACACATCTCAAATAAGTTTCTGAGAATGCTTCTGCCTAGTTGTTACGGGAAGATATTTCCCTTTCCAACATGGGCCTGAAAGCGCTCCAAATGTCCACTTCCAGATACTACAAAAAGAGGGTTTCAAACCTGCTCTACCAAAGGGAATGTTCTACTCTGTGACTTGAATGCAAACATCCCAAAGAAGTTTCTGAGAATGCTTCTGTCTAGATTTTACCTGAAGACAATCCCGTTTCCCACGAAATCCTCAAAGCTATGCAAATATCCTCTTGCAGATTCTACAAAAAGAGTGTTTCAAAACTGCTCTATGAAAAGAAAGGTTCAACTCTGTCAGTAGAGGGCACACATCACAAACAAGTTTCTGAGAATGCTTGTGTCTAGTTGTTATGGGAAGATATTTCCTTTTTCAACATAGGCCTGAAAGCGCTCCAAATGTCCACTTCCAGATACTACAAAAGGAGTGATTCCAACCTGCTCTATGATAGGGAATGTTCATCTCTGTGTCCTGAATACAAACATCACAAAGATGTTTCTCAGAACGCTGCAGTCTGCAATTTGTATGAATTCCCGCTTCCAACGAAATCCTCAAAACTAGCCAAATATCCACTTGGAGATTCCACAAAAAGAGCGTTTCAAAACTTCTCTATGAATAGAAAGGTTCTACTCCTTTAGTTGAGGACACACATCACGAGTAAGTTTCTGAGAATGATTCTGTCTAGTTTTTATGGGAAGATATTTCCTTTTTCACCTGAGGCCGGAAAGCGCTCCAAATGTCCACTTACAGACACTACAAAAGAGTGTTTCAAACCTGCTCTCTGAAAGGGAATGTTCAGTTCTGTGACTTGAATGCAATCACCACAGAAGAAGTTTCTGAGAATGCTGCTGTCTGCTTTTTATATGTAATCCCGTTTCCAACGAAATCCTCAAATCTAGCCAAATATCCACTTGCAGATTCCACAAAAAGAGTGTTTCAAAACTGTTCTGTCTAAAGAAAAGTTCAACTGTGTTAGTTGAGGACACACATCAGAAACTAGTTTCTGAGAATGCTTCTGTCTAGTTGTTATGGGAAGATATTTCCTTTTCCAACGTAGGCCTGAAAGCGCTCCAAATGTCCACTTCCATATACTAAAAAAAGAGTGTTTCAAACCTGCTCTACCAAAGGGAATGTTCTACTCTGTGACTTGAATGCAAACATCCCAAAGAAGTTTCTGAGAATGCTTCTGTCTAGATTTGATCTGAAGACAATCCCGTTTCCAACGAAATTCTCAAGGCTAGGCAAATATACTCTTGCAGATTCCAGAAAAAGAGTGTTTCAAAACTGCTCCTTCAAAACGGTGGTTCAATTCTCTTAGTTGAGTACACACATCTCAAATAAGTTTCTGAGAATGCTTCTGCCTCGTTGTTACGGGAAGATATTTCCCTTTCCAACATGGGCCTGAAAGCGCTCCAAATGTCCACTTCCAGATACTACAAAAAGAGGGTTTCAAACCTGCTCTACCAAAGGGAATGTTCTACTCTGTGACTTGAATGCAAACATCCCAAAGAAGTTTCTGAGAATGCTTCTGTCTAGATTTTACCTGAAGACAATCCCGTTTCCCACGAAATCCTCAAAGCTATGCAAATATCCTCTTGCAGATTCTACAAAAAGAGTGTTTCAAAACTGCTCTATGAAAAGAAAGGTTCAACTCTGTCAGCAGAGGGCACACATCACAAACAAGTTTCTGAGAATGCTTGTGTCTAGTTGTTATGGGAAGATATTTCCTTTTTCAACATAGGCCTGAAAGCGCTCCAAATGTCCACTTCCAGATACTACAAAAGGAGTGATTCCAACCTGCTCTATGATAGGGAATGTTCATCTCTGTGTCCTGAATACAAACATCACAAAGATGTTTCTCAGAACGCTGCAGTCTGCAATTTGTATGAATTCCCGCATCCAACGAAATCCTCAAAACTAGCCAAATATCCACTTGGAGATTCCACAAAAAGAGCGTTTCAAACCTTCTCTATGAATAGAAAGGTTCTACTCCTTTAGTTGAGGACACACATCACGAGTAACTTTCTGAGAATGCTTCTGTCTAGTTTTTATGGGAAGATATTTCCTTTTTCACCTTAGGCCGGAAAGTGCTCCAAATGTCCACTTACACACACTACAAAAAGAGTGTTTCAAACCTGCTCTGTGAAAGGGAATGTTCAATTCTGTGACTTGAATGCAATCATCACAAAGATCTTTCTGAGAATGCTGCTGACTGCTTTTTATATGTAATCCCGTTTCCAACGAAATCCTCAAATCTAGCCAAATATCCACTTGCAGATTCCACAAAAAGAGTGTTTCAAAACTGTTCTGTCTAAAGAAAAGTTCAACTGTGTTAGTTGAGGACACACATCAGAAACTAGTTTCTGAGAATGCTTCTGTCTAGTTGTTATGGGAAGATATTTCCTTTTCCAACGTAGGCCTGAAAGCGCTCCAAATGTCCACTTCCATATACTAAAAAAAGAGTGTTTCAAACCTGCTCTACCAAAGGGAATGTTCTACTCTGTGACTTGAATGCAAACATCCCAAAGAAGTTTCTGAGAATGCTTCTGTCTAGATTTTATCTGAAGACAATCCCGTTTCCAACGAAATCTTCAAGGCTAGGCAAATATACTCTTGCAGATTCCAGAAAAAGAGTGTTTCAAATCTGCTCCTTCAAAACGGTGGTTCAATTCTCTTAGTTGAGTACACACATCTCAAATAAGTTTCTGAGAATGCTTCTGCCTAGTTGTTACGGGAAGATATTTCCCTTTCCAACATGGGCCTGAAAGCGCTCCAAATGTCCACTTCCAGATACTACAAAAAGAGGGTTTCAAACCTGCTCTACCAAAGGGAATGTTCTACTCTGTGACTTGAATGCAAACATCCCAAAGAAGTTTCTGAGAATGCTTCTGTCTAGATTTTACCTGAAGACAATCCCGTTTCCCACGAAATCCTCAAAGCTATGCAAATATCCTCTTGCAGATTCTACAAAAAGAGTGTTTCAAAACTGCTCTATGAAAAGAAAGGTTCAACTCTGTCAGCAGAGGGCACACATCACAAACAAGTTTCTGAGAATGCTTGTGTCTAGTTGTTATGGGAAGATATTTCCTTTTTCAACATAGGCCAGAAAGCGCTCCAAATGTCCACTTCCAGATACTACAAAAGGAGTGATTCCAACCTGCTCTATGATAGGGAATGTTCAACTCTCTGTCCTGCATACAAACATCACAAAGCTGTTTCTCAGAACGCTGCAGTCTGCAATTTGTATGAATTCCCGCTTCCAACGAAATCCTCAAAACTAGCCAAATATCCACTTGCAGATTCCACAAAAAGAGCATTTCAAAACTGCTCTATCAAAAGAAATGTTCAACTTTGTTAGTTGAGTAGATACAGCATAAACAAGTTTCTGAGAATGCTTCTGTCCAGTTTTTATGGGAAGATATTTCCTTTTTCACCTTAGCCCTGAAATCGCTCCAAAAGTCCAGTTCCAGATACTACAAAAGGGGTGTTTCAAGACTGCTCTATGAAAGGGAGTGTTCAACTTTTGACTTGAATGCAAACATCAGAAAGCAGTTTCTCAGAACGCTGCTGTGTGCTTTTTATATGTATTCCCGCTTCCAGCGAAATCCCCAAAGCTAGCCAAATATCCACTTGCAGATTCCAGAAAAAGAGTGTTTCAAAACTGCTCCTTCAAAACGGTGGTTCAATTCTCTTAGTTGAGTACACACATCTCAAATAAGTTTCTGAGAATGCTTCTGTCTAGTTGTTATGGGAAGATATTTCCTTTTCCAACATAGGCCTGAAAGCGCTCCAAATGTCCACTTCCAGATACTACAAAAGGAGTGATTCCAACCTGCTCTATGATAGGGAATGTTCAACTCTGTGTCCTGAATACAAACATCACAAAGATGTTTCTCAGAACGCTGCAGTCTGCAATTTGTATGAATTCCCGCTTCCAACGAAATCCTCAAAACTAGCCAAATATCCACTTGGAGATTCCACAAAAAGAGCGTTTCAAAACTTCTCTATGAATAGAAAGGTTCTACTCCTTTAGTTGAGGACACACATCACGAGTAAGTTTCTGAGAATGCTTTCTGTCTAGTTTTTATGGGAAGAATATGTCCTTTTTCACCTTAGGCCGGAAAGCGCTCCAAATGTCCACTTACACACACTATAAAAAGAGTGTTTCAAACCTGCTCTGTGAAAGGGAATGTTCAATTCTGTGACTTGAATGCAATCATCACAAAGAACTTTCTGAGAATGCTGCTGACTGCTTTTTATATGTAATCCCGTTTCCAACGAAATCCTCAAATCTAGCCCAATATCCACTTGCAGATTCCACAAAAAGAGTGTTTCAAAACTGTTCTGTCTAAAGAAATGTACAACTGTGTTAGTTGAGGACACACATCAGAAACTAGTTTCTGAGAATGCTTCTGTCTAGTTGTTATGGGAAGATATTTCCTTTTCCAACGTAGGCCTGAAAGCGCTCCAAATGTCCACTTCCATATACTAAAAAAAGAGTGTTTCAAACCTGCTCTACCAAAGGGAATGTTCTACTCTGTGACTTGAATGCAAACATCCCAAAGAAGTTTCTGAGAATGCTTCTGTCTAGATTTTATCTGAAGACAATCCCGTTTCCAACGAAATCCTCAAGGCTAGGCAAATATACTCTTGCAGATTCCAGAAAAAGAGTGTTTCAAAACTGCTCCTTCAAAACGGTGGTTCAATTCTCTTAGTTGAGTACACACATCTCAAATAAGTTTCTGAGAATGCTTCTGCCTAGTTGTTACGGGAAGATATTTCCCTTTCCAACATAGGCCTGAAAGCGCTCCAAATGTCCACTTCCAGATACTACAAAAAGAGTGTTTCAAACCTGCTCTACCAAAGGGAATGTTCTACTCTGTGACTTGAATGGAAACATCACAAAGAAGTTTCTGAGAATGCTTCTGTCTAGATTTTACCTGAAGACAATCCGGTTTCCCACGAAATCCTCAAAGCTATGCAAATATCGTCTTGCAGATTCTACAAAAAGAGTGTTTCAAAACTGCTCTATGAAAAGAAAGGTTCAACTCTGTCAGTAGAGGGCACACATCACAAACAAGTTTCTGAGAATGCTTGTGTCTAGTTGTTATGGGAAGATATTTCGTTTTTCAACATAGGCCTGAAAGCGCTCCAAATGTCCACTTCCAGATACTACAAAAGGAGTGATTCCAACCTGCTCTATGATAGGGAATGTTCAACTCTGTGTCCTGAATACAAACATCACAAAGATGTTTCTCAGAACGCTGCAGTCTGCAATTTGTATGAATTCCCGCTTCCAACGAAATCCTCAAAACTAGCCAAATATCCACTTGCAGATTCCACAAAAAGAGCGTTTCAAAACTTCTCTATGAATAGAAAGGTTCTACTCCTTTAGTTGAGGACACACATCACGAGTAAGTTTCTGAGAATGCTTCTGTATAGTTTTTATGGGAAGATATTTCCTTTTTCACCTTAGGCCGGAAAGCGCTCCAAATGTCCACTTACACACACTACAAAAAGAGTGTTTCAAACCTGCTCTGTGAAAGGGAATGTTCAATTCTGTGACTTGAATGCAGTCATCACAAAGAACTTTCTGACAATGCTGCTGTCTGCTTTTTATATGTAATCCCGTTTCCAACGAAATCCTCAAATCTAGCCAAATATCCACTTGTAGATTCCACAAAAAGAGTGTTTCAAAACTCTTCTGTCTAAAGAAATGTTCAACTGTGTTAGTTGAGGACACACATCAGAAACTAGTTTCTGAGAATGCTTCTGTCTAGTTGTTATGGGAAGATATTTCCTTTTCCAACGTAGGCCTGAAAGCGCTCCAAATGTCCACTTCCATATACTAAAAAAAGAGTGTTTCAAACCTGCTCTACCAAAGGGAATGTTCTACTCTGTGACTTGAATGCAAACATCCCAAAGAAGTTTCTGAGAATGCTTCTGTCTAGATTTGATCTGAAGACAATCCCGTTTCCAACGAAATCCTCAAGGCTAGGCAAATATCCTCTTGCAGATTCCAGAAAAAGAGTGTTTCAAAACTGCTCCTTCAAAACGGTGGTTCAATTCTCTTAGTTGAGTACACACATCTCAAATAAGTTTCTGAGAATGCTTCTGCCTAGTTGTTACGGGAAGATATTTCCCTTTCCAACATGGGCCTGAAAGCGCTCCAAATGTCCACTTCCAGATACTACAAAAAGAGGGTTTCAAACCTGCTCTACCAAAGGGAATGTTCTACTCTGTGACTTGAATGCAAACATCCCAAAGAAGTTTCTGAGAATGCTTCTGTCTAGATTTTACCTGAAGACAATCCCGTTTCCCACGAAATCCCCAAAGCTATGCAAATATCCTCTTGCAGATTCTACAAAAAGAGTGTTTCAAAACTGCTCTATGAAAAGAAAGGTTCAACTCTGTCAGTAGAGGGCACACATCACAAACAAGTTTCTGAGAATGCTTGTGTCTAGTTGTTATGGGAAGATATTTCCTTTTTCAACATAGGCCTGAAAGCGCTCCAAATGTCCACTTCCAGATACTACAAAAGGAGTGATTCCAACCTGCTCTATGATAGGGAATGTTCATCTCTGTGTCCTGAATACAAACATCACAAAGATGTTTCTCAGAACGCTGCAGTCTGCAATTTGTATGAATTCCCGCTTCCAACGAAATCCTCAAAACTAGCCAAATATCCACGTGGAGATTCCACAAAAAGAGCGTTTCAAAACTTCTCTATGAATAGAAAGCTTCTACTCCTTTAGTTGAGGACACACATCACGAGTAAGTTTCTGAGAATGCTTCTGTCTAGTTTTTATGGGAAGATATTTCCTTTTTCACCTTAGGCCGGTAAGTGCTCCAAATGTCCACTTACACACACTACAAAAAGAGTCTTTCAAACCTGCTCTGTGAAAGGGAATGTTCAATTCTGTGACTTGAATGCAATCATCACAAAGAACTTTCTGAGAATGCTGCTGTCTGCTTTTTATATGTAATCCCGTTTCCAACGAAATCCTCAAATCTAGCCCAATATCCACTTGCAGATTCCACAAAAAGAGTGTTTCAAAACTGTTCTGTATAAAGAAATGTACAACTGTGTTAGTTGAGGACACACATCAGAAACTAGTTTCTGAGAATGCTTCTGTCTAGTTGTTATGGGAAGATATTTCCTTTTCCAACGTAGGCCTGAAAGCGCTCCAAATGTCCACTTCCATATACTAAAAAAAGAGTGTTTCAAACCTGCTCTACCAAAGGGAATGTTCTACTCTGTGACTTGAATGCAAACATCCCAAAGAAGTTTCTGAGAATGCTTCTGTCTAGATTTTATCTGAAGACAATCCCGTTTCCAACGAAATCCTCAAGGCTAGGCAAATATACTCTTGCAGATTCCAGAAAAAGAGGGTTTCAAAACTGCTCCTTCAAAACGGTGGTTCAATTCTCTTAGTTGAGTACACACATCTCAAATAAGTTTCTGAGAATGCTTCTGCCTAGTTGTTACGGGAATATATTTCCCTTTCCAACATGGGCCTGAATGCGCTCCAAATGTCCACTTCCAGATACTACAAAAAGAGTGTTTCAAACCTGCTCTACCAAAGGGAATGTTCTACTCTGTGACTTGAATGCAAACATCCCAAAGAAGTTTCTGAGAATGCTTCTGTCTAGATTTTACCTGAAGACAATCCCGTTTCCCACGAAATCCTCAAAGCTATGCAAATATCCTCTTGCAGATTCTACAAAAAGAGTGTTTCAAAACTGCTCTATGAAAAGAAAGGTTCAACTCTGTCAGTAGAGGGCACACATCACAAACAAGTTTCTGAGAATGCTCTGCATAGTTGTTACGGGAAGATATTTCCCTTTCCAAAATAGGCCTGAAAGCGCTCCAAATGTCCACTTCCAGATACTACAAAAGGAGTGATTCCAACCTGCTCTATGATAGGGAATGTTCAACTCTCTGTCCTGAATACAAACATCACAAAGATGTTCTCAGAACGCTGGCAGTCTGCAATTTGTATGAATTCCCGCTTCCAAAGAAATCCTCAAAACTAACCAAATATCCACTTGCAGACTCCACAAAAAGAGCATTTCAAAACTGCTCTATCAAAAGAAAGGTTCAACTTTGTTAGCTGAGTAGATACAGCATAAACAAGTTTCTGAGAATGCTTCTGTCCAGTTTTTATGGGAAGATATTTCCTTTTTCACCTTAGCCCTGAAAGCGCTCCAAATGTCCAGTTCCAGATACTACACAAGGGGTGTTTCAAGACTGCTCTATGAAAGGGAGTGTTCAATTTTTGACTTGAATGCAAACATCAGAAATCAATTTCTCAGAACGCTGCTGTGTGCTTTTTATATGTATTCCCGCTTCCAGCGAAATCCCCAAAGCTAGCCAAATATCCACTTGCAGACTCCAGAAAAAGAGTGTTTCAAAACTGCTCCTTCAAAACGGTGGTTCAATTCTCTTAGTTGAGTACACACATCTCAAATAAGTTTCTGAGAATGCTTGTGTCTAGTTGTTATGGGAAGATATTTCCTTTTTCAACATAGGCCTGAAAGCGCTCCAAATGTCCACTTCCAGATACTACAAAAGGAGTGATTCCAACCTGCTCTATGATAGGGAATGTTCATCTCTGTGTCCTGAATACAAACATCACAACGATGTTTCTGAGAACGCTGCAGTCTGCAATTTGTATGAATTCCCGCTTCCAACGAAATCCTCAAAACTAGCCAAATATCCACTTGCAGATTCCACAAAAAGAGCGTTTCAAAACTTCTCTATGAAAAGAAAGGTTCTAATCCTTTAGTTGAGGACACACATCACGAGTAAGTTTCTGAGAATGCTTCTGTCTAGTTTTTATGGGAAGATATTTCCTTTTTCACCTTAGGCCGGTAAGTGCTCCAAATGTCCACTTACACACACTACAAAAAGAGTGTTTCAAACCTGCTCTGTGAAAGGGAATGTTCAATTCTGTGACTTGAATGCAATCATCACAAAGAACATTCTGAGAATGCTGCTGACTGCTTTTTATATGTAATCCCGTTTCCAACGAAATCCTCAAATCTAGCCAAATAGCCACTTGCAGATTCCACAAAAAGAGTGTTTCAAAACTGTTCTGTCTAAAGAAATGTTCAACTGTGTTAGTTGAGGACACACATCAGAAACTAGTTTCTGAGAATGCTTCTGTCTAGTTGTTATGGGAAGATATTTCCTTTTCCAACGTAGGCCTGAAAGCGCTCCAAATGTCCACTTCCATATACTAAAAAAAGAGTGTTTCAAACCTGCTCTACCAAAGGGAATGTTCTACTCTGTGACTTGAATGCAAACATCCCAAAGAAGTTTCTGAGAATGCTTCTGTCTAGATTTTCTCTGAAGACAATCCCGTTTCCAACGAAATCCTCAAGGCTAGGCAAATATACTCTTGCAGATTCCAGAAAAAGAGTGTTTCAAAACTGCTCCTTCAAAACGGTGGTTCAATTCTCTTAGTTGAGTACACACATCTCAAATAAGTTTCTGAGAATGCTTCTGCCTAGTTGTTACGGGAAGATATTTCCCTTTCCAACATAGGCCTGAAAGCGCTCCAAATGTCCACTTCCAGATACTACAAAAAGAGTGTTTCAAACCTGCTCTACCAAAGGGAATGTTCTACTCTGTGACTTGAATGCAAACATCCCAAAGAAGTTTCTGAGAATGCTTCTGTCTAGATTTTACCTGAAGACAATCCCGTTTCCCACGAAATCCTCAAAGCTATGCAAATATCCTCTTGCAGATTCTACAAAAAGAGTGTTTCAAAACTGCTCTATGAAAAGAAAGGTTCAACTCTGTCAGTAGAGGGCACACATCACAAACAAGTTTCTGAGAATGCTTGTGTCTAGTTGTTATGGGAAGATATTTCCTTTTTCAACATAGGCCAGAAAGCGCTCCAAATGTCCACTTCCAGATACTACAAAAGGAGTGATTCCAACCTGCTCTATGATAGGGAATGTTCAACTCTGTGTCCTGAATACAAACATCACAAAGATGTTTCTCAGAACGCTGCAGTCTGCAATTTGTATGTATTCCAGCTTCCAACGAAATCCTCAAATCTAGCCAAATATCCAATTGCAGATTCCACAAAAAGAGCATTTCAAAACTGCTCTATCAAAAGAAAGGTTCAACTTTTTTAGTAGAGTAGATACAGCATAAACAAGTTTCTGAGAATGCTTCTGTCCAGTTTTTATGGGAAGATATTTCCTTTTTCACCTTAGCCCTGAAAGCGCTCCAAATGTCCAGTTCCAGATACTACAAAAGGAGTGTTTCAGGACTGCTCTATGAAAGGGAGTGTTCAACTTTTGACTTGAATGCAAACATCAGAAAGCAGTTTCTCAGAACGCTGCTGTGTGCTTTTTATATGTATTCCCGCTTCCAGCGAAATCCCCAAAGCTAGCCAAATATCCACTTGCAGATTCCAGAAAAAGAGTGTTTCAAAACTGCTCCTTCAAAACGGTGGTTCAATTCTCTTAGTTGAGTACACACATCTCAAATAAGTTTCTGAGAATGCTTCTGTCTAGTTGTTATGGGAAGATATTTCCTTTTCCAACATATGCCTGAAAGCGCTCCAAATGTCCACTTCCAGATACTACAAAAGGAGTGATTCAAACCTGCTCTATGATAGGGAATGTTCAACTCTGTGTCCTGAATACAAACATCACAAAGATGTTTCTCAGAACGCTGCAGTCTGCAATTTGTATGAATTCCCGCTTCCAACGAAATCCTCAAAACTAGCCAAATATCCACTTGCAGATTCCACAAAAAGAGCGTTTCAAAACTTCTCTATGAAAAGAAAGGTTCTACTCCTTTAGTTGAGGACACACATCACGAGTAAGTTTCTGAGAATGCTTCTGTCTAGTTTTTATGGGAAGATATTTCCTTTTTCACCTTAGGCCGGAAAGTGCTCCAAATGTCCACTTACACACACTACAAAAAGAGTGTTTCAAACCTGCTCTGTGAAAGGGAATGTTCAATTCTGTGACTTGAATGCAATCATCACAAAGAACTTTCTGAGAATGCTGCTGTCTGCTTTTTATATGTAATCCCGTTTCCAACGAAATCCTCAAATCTAGCCAAATAGCCACTTGCAGATTCCACAAAAAGAGTGTTTCAAAACTGTTCTGTCTAAAGAAATGTTCAACTGTGTTAGTTGAGGACACACATCAGAAACTAGTTTCTGAGAATGCTTCTGTCTAGTTGTTATGGGAAGATATTTCCTTTTCCAACGTAGGCCTGAAAGCGCTCCAAATGTCCACTTCCATATACTAAAAAAAGAGTGTTTCAAACCTGCTCTACCAAAGGGAATGTTCTACTCTGTGACATGAATGCAAACATCCCAAAGAAGTTTCTGAGAATGCTTCTGTCTAGATTTGATCTGAAGACAATCCCGTTTCCAACGAAATCCTCAAGGCTAGGCAAATATCCTCTTGCAGATTCCAGAAAAAGAGTGTTTCAAAACTGCTCCTTCAAAACGGTGGTTCAATTCTCTTAGTTGAGTACACACATCTCAAATAAGTTTCTGAGAATGCTTCTGCCTAGTTGTTACGGGAAGATATTTCCCTTTCCAACATAGGCCTGAAAGCGCTCCAAATGTCCACTTCCAGATACTACAAAAAGAGTGTTTCAAACCTGCTCTACCAAAGGGAATGTTCTACTCTGTGACTTGAATGCAAACATCCCAAAGAAGTTTCTGAGAATGCTTCTGTCTAGATTTTACCTGAAGACAATCCCGTTTCCCACGAAATCCTCAAAGCTATGCAAATATCCTCTTGCAGATTCTACAAAAAGAGTGTTTCAAAACTGCTCTATGAAAAGAAAGGTTCAACTCTGTCAGTAGAGGGCACACATCACAAACAAGTTTCTGAGAATGCTTCTGCATAGTTGTTACGGGAAGATATTTCCCTTTCCAAAATAGGCCTGAAAGCGCTCCAAATGTCCACTTCCAGATACTACAAAAGGAGTGATTCCAACCTGCTCTATGATAGGGAATGTTCAACTCTGTGTCCTGAATACAAACATCACAAAGATGTTTCTCAGAACGCTGCAGTCTGCAATTTGTATGAATTCCCGCTTCCAACGAAATCCTCAAAACTAGCCAAATATCCACTTGCAGATTCCACAAAAAGACCATTTCAAAACTGCTCTATCAAAAGAAAGGTTCAACTTTGTTAGTTGAGTAGATACAGCATAACCAAGTTTCTGAGAATGCTTCTGTCCAGTTTTTATGGGAAGATATTTCCTTTTTCACCTTAGCCCTGAAATCGCTCCAAAAGTCCAGTTCCAGATACTACAAAAGGGGTGTTTCAAGACTGCTCTATGAAAGGGAGTGTTCAACTTTTGACTTGAATGCAAACATCAGAAAGCAGTTTCTCAGAACGCTGCTGTGTGCTTTTTATATGTATTCCCGCTTCCAGCGAAATCCCCAAAGCTAGCCAAATATCCACTTGCAGATTCCAGAAAAAGAGTGTGTCAAAACTGCTCCTTCAAAACGGTGGTTCAATTCTCTTAGTTGAGTACACACATCTCAAATAAGTTTCTGAGAATGCTTCTGTCTAGTTGTTATGGGAAGATATTTCCTTTTCCAACATAGGCCTGAAAGCGCTCCAAATGTCCACTTCCAGATACTACAAAAGGAGTGATTCCAACCTGCTCTATGATAGGGAATGTTCAACTCTGTGTCCTGAATACAAACATCACAAAGATGTTTCTCAGAACGCTGCAGTCTGCAATTTGTATGAATTCCCGCTTCCAACGAAATCCTCAAAACTAGCCAAATATCCACTTGCAGATTCCACAAAAAGAGCGTTTCAAAACTTCTCTATGAAAAGAAAGGTTCTACTCCTTTAGTTGAGGACACACATCACGAGTAAGTTTCTGAGAATGCTTCTGTCTAGTTTTTATGGGAAGATATTTCCTTTTTCACCTTAGGCCGGTAAGTGCTCCAAATGTCCACTTACACACACTACAAAAAGAGTCTTTCAAACCTGCTCTGTGAAAGGGAATGTTCAATTCTGTGACTTGAATGCAATCATCACAAAGAACTTTCTGAGAATGCTGCTGACTGCTTTTTATATGTAATCCCGTTTCCAACGAAATCCTCAAATCCAGCCAAATAGCCACTTGCAGATTCCACAAAAAGAGTGTTTCAAAACTGTTCTGTCTAAAGAAATGTTCAACTGTGTTAGTTGAGGACACACATCAGAAACTAGTTTCTGAGAATGCTTCTGTCTAGTTGTTATGGGAAGATATTTCCTTTTCCAACGTAGGCCTGAAAGCGATCCAAATGTCCACTTCCATATACTAAAAAAAGAGTGTTTCAAACCTGCTCTACCAAAGGGAATGTTCTACTCTGTGACTTGAATGCAAACATCCCAAAGAAGTTTCTGAGAATGCTTCTGTCTAGATTTTCTCTGAAGACAATCCCGTTTCCAACGAAATCCTCAAGGCTAGGCAAATATACTCTTGCAGATTCCAGAAAAAGAGTGTTTCAAAACTGCTCCTTCAAAACGGTGGTTCAATTCTCTTAGTTGAGTACACACATCTCAAATAAGTTTCTGAGAATGCTTCTGCCTAGTTGTTACGGGAAGATATTTCCCTTTCCAACATGGGCCTGAAAGCGCTCCAAATGTCCACTTCCAGATACTACAAAAAGAGTGTTTCAAACCTGCTCTACCAAAGGGAATGTTCTACTCTGTGACTTGAATGCAAACATCCCAAAGAAGTTTCTGAGAATGCTTCTGTCTAGATTTTACCTGAAGACAATCCCGTTTCCCACGAAATCCTCAAAGCTATGCAAATATCCTCTTGCAGATTCTACAAAAAGAGTGTTTCAAAACTGCTCTATGAAAAGAAAGGTTCAACTCTGTCAGTAGAGGGCACACATCACAAACAAGTTTCTGAGAATGCTTGTGTCTAGTTGTTATGGGAAGATATTTCCTTTTTCAACATAGGCCTGAAAGCGCTCCAAATGTCCACTTCCAGATACTACAAAAGGAGTGATTCCAACCTGCTCTATGATAGGGAATGTTCATCTCTGTGTCCTGAATACAAACATCACAAAGATGTTTCTCAGAACGCTGCAGTCTGCAATTTGTATGAATTCCCGCTTCCTACGAAATCCTCAACACTAGCCAAATATCCACTTGGAGATTCCACAAAAAGAGCGTTTCAAAACTTCTCTATGAATAGAAAGGTTCTACTCCTTTAGTTGAGGACACACATCACGAGTAAGTTTCTGAGAATGCTTCTGTCTAGTTTTTATGGGAAGATATGTCCTTTTTCACCTTAGGCCGGAAAGCGCTCCAAATGTCCACTTACACACACTACAAAAAGAGTGTTTCAAACCTGCTCTGTGAAAGGGAATGTTCAATTCTGTGACTTGAATGCAATCATCACAAAGAACTTTCTGAGAATGCTGCTGTCTGCTTTTTATATGCAATCCCGTTTCCAACGAAATCCTCAAATCTAGCCCAATATCCACTTGCAGATTCCACAAAAAGAGTGTTTCAAAACTGTTCTGTATAAAGAAATGTGCAACTGTGTTAGTTGAGGACACACATCAGAAACTAGTTTCTGAGAATGCTTCTGTCTAGTTGTTATGGGAAGATATTTCCTTTTCCAACGTAGGCCTGAAAGCGCTCCAAATGTCCACTTCCATATACTAAAAAAAGAGTGTTTCAAACCTGCTCTACCAAAGGGAATGTTCTACTCTGTGACTTGAATGCAAACATCCCAAAGAAGTTTCTGAGAATGCTTCTGTCTAGATTTTATCTGAAGACAATCCCGTTTCCAACGAAATCCTCAAAGCTAGGCAAATATCCTCTAGCAGATTCCAGAAAAAGAGTGTTTCAAAACTGCTCCTTCAAAACGGTGGTTCAATTCTCTTAGTTGAGTACACACATCTCAAAAAAGTTTCAGAGAATTCTTCTGCCTAGTTGTTACGGGAAGATATTTCCCTTTCCAACATGGGCCTGAAAGCGCTCCAAATGTCCACTTCCAGATACTACAAAAAGAGTGTTTCAAACCTGCTCTACCAAAGGGAATGTTCTACTCTGTGACTTGAATGCAAACATCCCAAAGAAGTTTCTGAGAATGCTTCTGTCTAGATTTTACCTGAAGACAATCCCGTTTCCCACGAATTCCTCAAAGCGATGCAAATATCCTCTTGCGGATTCTACAAAAAGAGTGTTTCAAAACTGCTCTATGAAAAGAAAGGTTCAACTCTGTCAGTAGAGGGCACACATCACAAACAAGTTTCTGAGAATGCTTGTGTCTAGTTGTTATGGGAAGATATTTCCTTTTTCAACATAGGCCTGAAAGCGCTCCAAATGTCCACTTCCAGATACTACAAAAGGAGTGATTCCAACCTGCTCTATGATAGGGAATGTTCATCTCTGTGTCCTGAATACAAACATCACAAAGATGTTTCTCAGAACGCTGCAGTCTGCAATTTGTATGAATTCCCGCTTCCAACGAAATCCTCAAAACTAACCAAATATCCACTTGGAGATTCCACAAAAAGAGCGTTTCAAAACTTCTCTATGAATAGAAAGGTTCTACTCCTTTAGTTGAGGACACACATCACGAGTAAGTTTCTGAGAATGCTTCTGTCTAGTTTTTATGGGAAGATATGTCCTTTTTCACCTTAGGCCGGAAAGCGCTCCAAATGTCCACTTACACACACTACAAAAAGAGTGTTTCAAACCTGCTCTGTGAAAGGGAATGTTCAATTCTGTGACTTGAATGCAATCATCACAAAGAACTTTCTGAGAATGCTGCTGACTGCTTTTTATATGTAATCCCGTTTCCAACGAAATCCTCAAATCTAGCCCAATATCCACTTGCAGATTCCACAAAAAGAGTGTTTCAAAACTGTTCTGTCTAAAGAAATGTACAACTGTGTTAGTTGAGGACACACATCAGAAACTAGTTTCTGAGAATGCTTCTGTCTAGTTGTTATGGGAAGATATTTCCTTTTCCAACGTAGGCCTGAAAGCGCTCCAAATGTCCACTTCCATATACTAAAAAAAGAGTGTTTCAAACCTGCTCTACCAAAGGGAATGTTCTACTCTGTGACTTGAATGCAAACATCCCAAAGAAGTTTCTGAGAATGCTTCTGTCTAGATTTTCTCTGAAGACAATCCCGTTTCCAACGAAATCCTCAAGGCTAGGCAAATATACTCTTGCAGATTCCAGAAAAAGAGTGTTTCAAAACTGCTCCTTCAAAACGGTGGTTCAATTCTCTTAGTTGAGTACACACATCTCAAATAAGTTTCTGAGAATGCTTCTGCCTAGTTGTTACGGGAAGATATTTCCCTTTCCAACATGGGCCTGAAAGCGCTCCAAATGTCCACTTCCAGATACTACAAAAAGAGTGTTTCAAACCTGCTCTACCAAAGGGAATGTTCTACTCTGTGACTTGAATGCAAACATCCCAAAGAAGTTTCTGAGAATGCTTCTGTCTAGATTTTACCTGAAGACAATCCCGTTTCCCACGAAATCCTCAAAGCTATGCAAATATCCTCTTGCAGATTCTACAAAAAGAGTGTTTCAAAACTGCTCTATGAAAAGAAAGGTTCAACTCTGTCAGTAGAGGGCACACATCACAAACAAGTTTCTGAGAATGCTTCTGCATAGTTGTTACGGGAAGATATTTCCCTTTCCAAAATAGGCCTGAAAGCGCTCCAAATGTCCACTTCCAGATACTACAAAAGGAGTGATTCCAACCTGCTCTATGATAGGGAATGTTCAACTCTGTGTCCTGAATACAAACATCACAAAGATGTTTCTCAGAACGCTGCAGTCTGCAATTTGTATGAATTCCCGCTTCCAACGAAATCCTCAAAACTAGCCAAATATCCACTTGCAGATTCCACAAAAAGACCATTTCAAAACTGCTCTATCAAAAGAAAGGTTCAACTTTGTTAGTTGAGTAGATACAGCATAAACAAGTTTCTGAGAATGCTCTTCTGTCCAGTTTTTATGGGAAGATATTTCCTTTTTCACCTTAGCCCTGAAATCGCTCCAAAAGTCCAGTTCCAGATACTACAAAAGGGGCGCTCCCACGCCTCCCCCATCCCTCCCTCCTTTCTTCCCTTCCTTTCTTTCATTTCTTTCATTTCACTTCTCTTCTATGTAGAGTTTGATTCTTCACAACTTGGCTGAAAACATTCATGAAGACTGCCTGGTATGTTAGAGGTTGGCTTGTTGGGAGAAACAAAGGAAAAGAGGCAGAAAAAAAGCAATAAAAATGGTAATGAGAATGTTGACAAATTGAATATTTTGCATAGGGCAGACGGGACTGAGTTTGAGATAGGTGGACTTGTGTGTTCTATGTGATTTAAAGAATATATACATTAAAATGCACAGATCTTAAGCATTCAATTTAATGGGTTTTGACTTGTATACACCCACACAACCATCATGCCAAACAAAATTTAGAATGTTTCTATGGCCCTGGAAAATTCTTTCATAGCCCTTTCACACAACCCTGTCGCCTTCCAGGGGCAACCACTGTTCTAACAATTTCCATCACAATAAATTAAATTTGCCACTTCTTGGGCTTTATTTA